>NC_000003.12:80313030-80616060 GCF_000001405.40 Homo sapiens | reverse complement strand
AACTCATCCTTTTTTATGGCTGCATAGTATTCCATGGTGTATATATGCCACATTTTCTTTATCCAGTCTATCATTGATGGGCATTTGGGTTGGTTTCAAGTCTTTGATATTGTGAATAGTGCTGCAGTAAACGTACGTATGCATGTGTATTCATGGTAGAATGATTTATAATCCTTTGGATATATACCCACTAATGGGATTGCTGGGTCAAATGGTATTTCTAGTTCTAGATCCTTGAGGAATTACCCCACTCTCTTCCACAGTGGTTGAACTAATCTACACTCCCACCAACAGTATGAAAGCATTCCTATTTCTCCACATCCTCTCTAGCATTTGTTGTTTTCTGACTTTTCAATGATTGCCATTCTAACTGATGTGAGATGCTATCTCATTGTGGTTTTGATTTGCATTTCTCTAATGAACAGTGGTGATGAGCTTTTTTTCATATGTTTGTTGGCTGCATTAAGTGTCATGACTAAAACACCAAAAGCAATGGCAACAAAAGCCGAAATTGACATATGAGGTCTGATTAAACTAAAGAGCTTCTGCACAGCAAAAGAAACTATCATCAGAGTGAATAGGCAGCCTACAGAATGGGAGAAAATTCTTGCAATCTATCCATCTGACAAAGGGCTAATATCCAGAATCTACAAAGAACTTAAACAGATTTACAAACAACCCCATCAAAAAGTGGGTGAAGCATATGAACAGACACTTTTCAAAAGACGTTGTTTTTTTCATAAACCTTGTCTTTGAAATGATTTATTTTCATTCTTTGTTTCCATGCTTTACTTGTAAGTGTTTGAGCTTGAAGGGTCGCATGTAGTAATTAATTTATGCTGTTGGTTTCAGATAGATCTAATGCCACTTTTAAGAATAACCCCTTAAGCCAACAGGAGTTTATTATTTGCTTTACTCATTAACACATGCTTAATTATATAAAATTATATGTCAGCATCTATTGATGTGATCTACATTCATTTTCTTCCCTTAAAGTATCACACCAGTGAAATATATTACTATACATCTTAATATACAAATATACAACATAATACATATTATTAGAATAAACATTTGGATTTTATAGGTTTTATTATAATATTGAATACTTTTTAGACATATTAAAAATTATTTTCTACTATATTCATAAATGAAATTGCTCCCTAATTTTATTTGGGATAGCTTGGTTGATGGTTGCTATCAATTTAATAATAATCTGAAACATAACTTTAAAAGATCATCTTTTTCTATAATGTGGAATGCTGTTACTTATAGAATATTGATGTGATTGTGATAATTATATATAAGTTTTACTATTAATATATGTTTTGTTTTACTTATTTATTATATTAATTAATTAATTTATTTATTAATTTATTTATTTTGAGACAGAGTCTTGCTGTGTTACCCAGGCTGGAGTACGGTGGTGTAATCTCCACCTCCTGGTTTCAGGAGATTCTCCTGCCTCAACCTCCTGGGTGGCTGTGATTACAGGCACACACCATCACACCCAGCTAATTTTTGTAAATTTATTAGAGACGGGGTTTCACCATGTTGGCGAGGCTGGTCTCGAACTCCTGACCTCAAGTGATCTGCCCATCTCAGCCCCCCAAAGTGCTGCGATTATAGGAATGAGCCACTGTGTCCAGCTAGTTTTACATTTTATCTCATGATTAGGAAGTGTTTTATTCCTAAGTGTTTATAAGCAACTTATATAATTTTCTTTGAGTTGATTTACTCATCTATAAAGTAGAAAAATTGCCTCAATTGTTTTATGTTTGTTTTTCAAGAATCTGAATTTCCTTTGAAAATTAATGTATTAAATTATTTGCCATAATTATATTCTCTGCTTTTAAATTAACATTTAAAATATAATTTAGGCATAATTTGCCATGTTTACTATCATTTCCTATTTAATTAATGCTTATATAGAAAATTAATATCTACATAGTTATAACTATATCCATTCATATATAGATCCATATCTATATATATGGATAAAAAAAGACAAATTGGAAATAATTACCTTTGTAATTTTAAGTATTATATTTGATTTTTTTAAATGAATAAATTACTCAATACCTATAAAAAGCTCAAAGTAATACTTGACCCATGTTTATTGTGGAATACATGTTATTATCTATTTTTGCTATTTAAACTTTTAGAGTTTTTTTACGTGTCTGTATCTGTGTTTTTTTTCCCTGTGTGCTCAAACTTACAGACCTAAGTGTTCTTTGTTCCATAGCAGAAACCAAGTAAGGCTCCTAAGTGACTGTGGAAATCCTCCACACCTTATTCAATATCAGAGCAAAACCAATGGGAAAGGGATTAAAGTTATTGTGATTTTCAGCTTCCTAAAGATTCTGTTATTTGTGTGGAGAAGAAGTAATATTGTAAGGTGATAGGACATTGAATTTTACATTTATTCAACACAACCTAGATTTGGCTGCTTGTTAAGGTTAAATCCGACAAGAAAAGGGACCTTTCAAGCCAGTCTATGAAATAAGCATTATTGGATGTCTCATTACCATCAGTCCCTCTTCACCAGGTCACTCATAATACCTGTAGCCCCAGCTACTGACTAGGTAGTGCTTCAGTTCTCTTCCTCTGTGTAGGGCTCCACAGAGTCTGTCTATTTTTTGACAGGAGGCATCACTCACGATCAAGATACACTAATGAATCTGTGTGTGTTTGTTTATGTGTGTGCATGTACAACACAGGATTGGGAGTCATACAAATAATCTATTGTGCCTTCCCCTTTTCCCTTCCTCTTTGTTTTGCAATTATGGTATTTGTGGCAGCACAATCAACCTATGTTTTCCATCAAAATATTTTCTAATCTAATTCCTTCAAGTTTCACATATTAGGGAGGGGATCACTCTTTTAATCTCTAGTGACGATTTGAAAATCTCCCTTTTACACTGTGTGACTCATTTATGTAGAAAAAAGGAAAAGTTAAACTTGAGATTAGAATGACATACACATAACATGTAATACAATGTAGCTTCTTTAAAAGAAGTTTATGTCAAATTAGCAAGTGAATAGGACTGAAATTTTATAACATATTTAAAGAATTTAAATTAGTGGCTGATAAAGAATGTATAATTATCATCTTTATGGTAAAATAACATGAACCTATACTAGCAGATTCCAAGGAGTACTTTTTTATCTAGCAACATTTTTAGCATCTAAATTAAAATATTAAAGACATAAAACACAAATCAGTATTTTTATCTTCTATCTGCCTGTTATCCAGAGATCTGTATTCTTTTAATTGCCAACTTCAAATACTTAAACTTTAAAAAGTCCTTAATGACTATATTATTATTCATTCATTCATTCAGTTGATTGAATGATTCAACAAATATATATTTTGTTCCCATTATGTGCCAAGAACTCTCGTAGGTGCTGCAAATACAAATGGGAAATAAATTCCTGCTCTCCTGGAATTTACATTCAACTGGGAACAAACAGAATGTAAACAGGTCAATGTCTATTATGTTAATGGTGATAAGAGCTATGAAGATGAAAGCTGCTTTACAGCGTGGTAAACTGTGGGTTGAGTAAGGTACTATTCCAGATATAGAAGCATTTGAGCAGAAACCTGAATGAAGTGATAATGAAGAAGTCTTTCAGATGTATTAGGAAAAAAATTTCAAACCATAAGGAACAGTAAATGTAACACTGCAATAAGCATGATTGGCACATTCAAAAGTGAAAAAGGAGATGAGTGACTGAGGCCCACTGAGTAAAAAGAGTAAAGATAGAATTTTAGGTCTGGGAAAATAATCATAAGGTTGTAGTAACTGGGACCACCTGGTAAGCAAAGGTAGGGGCATGAGATTTTATTCTGAGTGAGTTAGGAGAGGGATGGGAATTTTTGTTTTTGTTTTTTTTCCAAGAAGTGATGTGATTTGGTATATGTCTTCACTTTAAAATGATCACAACTATGACTGAGAATAGACTACCATAAATCAGTTTTAAAATATTGATAATTAAGCAAAGCATCTAATTCTAAAAGAATATATTAGCCAGTAATTTGTCCAAATTATATATTTGTTTAATGTAAAATCTATTCAGCAGATAGCTCAATAATATTAATGACCTTCTGCCTACCCTTTCCATAACTGTGACTAATATATGTAACTAAGTAAACTAGAGAAATTATGTACTATTTCCTATTCAAAATCTTTGGGATTTGTACTCTAATGAAAACTGATCCTGTTTTTGTTTGCTTCTTAATGTGTGTTGGTTGGCTTTTGCAAAGGTGTGAACGTTTTTGTGCCCTCAAAATTCATATATTCAAATGTAATCACCAATGTGATGATGTTAGACGGTGAGACCTTTGAAAGGTGATTAGGTCATGAGGATAGAACCTTCATGAATGGGATTAATGTCCTTACAAAAGAGGCCTGAGAGAGCCCCAATATTTCTTCCATGTGAGGATATAGGAAGAAGGATGCTGTCTGTGAGGAAGCAGGCCTTCATCAAATACCAACTCAAGATCATTGCCTTGATCTTGGACTTTCCAATCTCCAGAACTGCGAGAAATAAATTTCTGTTGCTTAAAAGCCACCTTATTAATGGTATTTTGTTATAGTAGCCCAAATAAACTAATACAGCTTTATTGTTTTATTTTGTTTAATGTTTTAAGAAACGCTGAATCCCAGCTATTGCAGAATTAACAATGTTTAGTGCCTACATATCTATTTGTTTTTGCTTAGTGCTATTGCTACAAAAAGAAACAGAATCCAAATTTTTAAAATAAAACAAGTGTTTGAATAACTGAAATATTTGACATAAGGATGTATATGATCACATATTCTTGGTGTGTGTATGTGTGTTTACTCTATTTTTGAAAGGTCCATTCGATCAAATCAGTTTTATTTGCATAACAGAGTTTCTTTTTGTATTTGATCTTTCATCAACATGGCTTTTTAAATTTCACAGAAGAAACAGAGCTATAGTATTATTTGTTTGAATTTTTAGAGATAAAACAATCCAAATAAGCAAAATATACTGTTTCTCTAGCTATCTAGGGAAGTTTAGTACAGTTTTTCCAAACTAACATCATAAGTGTGACCGTTTATTAATTATTGTAATTTACACATTGAACATTTATATTCTTGAAATTCATAATCCTTCTAAATATCTCAAATAAGTGAGTATGACTGTAATTTTCATTTTACTGGTAGAGAAATTGAGACTCACAAAGAATGTATAATTTTCCAAAGATCACACAGATATTTGGGGGTATAGACTTTACACTCTACTACTATGTGGTTTTGCACTTCCATGGAAGTACAGTATGCCACACTTTGCATAAAACCATATCCACACCCGAGTGCTGGTGGCTCTCTGCTCTTTTAATCAAGTATTTATCTTTTCCAAAATAGAGAGCCTAAGTGGGCAACTTGGTTGCCATGCCACTTGGCTGTCTTGTAGAAGTGTTCTCGGGCAGCATTCTTCACCAAGTTGTACCTGAAGCTGTTGACTCCTCTAAGATCCAGCTCTTGTAGTTTTTGTTGTAACTCTTACAGTGATTTTTGCCCTAATATGTCAACGTTGGGGTTTGTTTTACACAATATATGAAATATAAGCCAAAGATTTTCAGAAAGAGAACAATTCAAGACTACCAAACAAATTCAAAATTTAATAGTGCTCTTAAATAGTAGGTTTCTAGAGGCACTCTATTTGACTAAAAACTGGTTTGCATAGATTATTATTTATTTTTAAATATATCTTGTTTTAAAGTGCCAGCAGAATGAACTAAACAGTAGAAAGAAAGATGGAAGCATTAGGTTTCGGGAATTTGTCCGTAAGCCCAAGTAATATTTTGTGATAAGATTTGCTAAGAATTTTTTACAATCTTTGCTTAAACTAGATCTGTGATTATTGATAGAGAAAAAGTATAGGCAGGAAACAAATATGTAAATATCCAGTTCGAAATCTAAGGTGGTGTTGTAAATCATAGAGTAGAGCTGATCAGAAGAGAAAAAATCAAGAATAAAGAAGTCATAACAATTTTTGAATTATATTGAAAAGTAAAAGTAAAATGATATCTAAATATATCTGGCAAAAGTAATGAATAATCTTAATGAGAACTATAGAGTGACCAGAGTAAAAGACAAAGGGAACTGGGAGGCGTGGGTGTAGCAAGAGCAGCTGCAGAAAACACTTTTTTTTTTTCTTTTTTTTTTTTTTTTGAGACGGAGTCTCGCTCTGTCGCCAGGCTGGAGTGCAGTGATGCGGTCTTGGCTCACTGCAAGCTCCGCCTCCCGAGTTCAGGTGATTTCCCTGCCTCAGCCTCCCAAGTAGCTGGAACTACACAGAAAATAGATGAGAAGAAAAAGAGAGCTGTGTAGTTGAAGAGGATGCAGGATTATCAAGTTCTTATTTATACATTTAAATATTTATTTAATGGTAGGACTTTATCCATAATGTTGAATAGAAAACAATTTGGAGAAGGCTACATACAATATGATAAAATTCATATACATTTTTTAGTGAAAAATGTATCATATGTACATATCTATTTTTAATGGAAAGATAAGCCTCGAATTTATTAACACTGCCCATGAGCATAAGGGGAAGTACACAGTTAGGTCGGGCAGGGGCACAAAGGGGCATCAGCTGTATTTGTAGCCACTTAGTTTAAAACTATGTATATGTATATAGTGATTATATTAAATTTATAAATATATTTTAATTCCTATTATTGTCTGTAATTGTACTGAAAATTTTTGCATTTGGAATATGAAGTAAACAATCGATGTTAGATTTCTGAGTTGTAAATTTCAATGTTATGGCGAAAACCTAGGTATAGCTTTTTACTTTATCATTCATAAATAATATATCTATAACCCTGTACAGAGAGAACCTGAGGACTAGATATCTAGGCAAATATTTTCAACATATACCTGACAAGGCTAGACAATTAATTTTAATAATATGACCTAGAGGCTGGGCGCAGTGGCTCATGCCTGTAATCCCAGAACTTTGGGAGGACGAGCCGGGTGGATCACGAGGTCAGGAGATGGAGGCCATCTTGGCCAACATGGTGAAATCCCATCTCTACTAAAATACAAAATATTAGCCAGGTTTGGTGGCGCATGCCTGTAATCCCAGCTACCTGGGGGGCTGAGGCAGGGGAATCACTTGGACCCAGGAGGCGGAGGTTGCAGTGAGCTGAGATCGTGCCACTGCACTCCAGCCTGGCAGCAGAGCAAGAATCTGTCTAATAATAATAATATGACCTAGAGCAGTTAAATAAAGGAGATAAAATATATAATATTGGGGATTGATTTCTAATTTCTTAGAGTATGCTGAAACCATTCTTTTGTTGAATTGAAAATGATATCTTCAAAAGATCCACTAGCTATCATCAAATGAATTTATCTGAGTAATACCCTAGAAAATAATAATGTAGGTTTTTTAATTGATGCCAAATATAGAAAGTAAAAATTTCATAATGCACACCTCGAATCTGCAACAATGTGATGATCAGAAATATTTGAAACCATAGACAGTTTAAAAATGTGGGCTTGGAGGACAGAAGAGACTTTCTCTTTTCTTTTCCCTTTTTCCCCTCCCTCCCTCCCTTCCTTCCTTCCTTCCTTCCTCCCTTCCTTCCTTCCTCTCTACCTTCTTTCCTTCCTTTCTTCCTTCTTTCCCGCCTTCCTTTCTTCCTTCCTTCCTTCCTCTCTACCTTCTTTCCTTCCTTTCTTCCTTCTTTCCCGCCTTCCTTTCTTCCTTCCTTCCTACCTCTCTACCTTCTTTCCTTCCTTTCTTCCTTCTTTCCCGCCTTCCTTTCTTCCTTCCTTCCTACCTCTCTACCTTCTTTCCTTCCTTTCTCCCTCCCTCCCTGCCTGCCTGCCTCCCTTCCTCCCTCCCTTCCTTCTTTTCTCTTTTCCTCCCTACCTTCTTTCCTCCCTTCCTCCCTTTCTTCCTTCCTCCTTCCCTCCCTTCCCCCTCCTCCCTCCCACTCCCCTTCCTTTCTTTCCTCTCTTTTCCCTTCCCCTCTTTCTCTTCTCTCTTTCTCATTCTTTCCGTTTTTCCTTTCTTCTTTCTTTCATTCATTTGTTCCTTCTTGTTTTCTTGCTTGATGAAATGTTGAAAGTCAGGAGAGAGATAAAAAAATACAATAGATAAATTCTCATTTTAATGAATTAGCCTTATTTGAACTAAGGTAGATTATAATTTTTCTCAAATTGAAATTAAATAACATTTCATTTTTAAATGAATATTAGAATAAGGTGCTCTTTGGTTAGACAGACTGGGTGAAAATCTTGTTTCTGCCACTTTCCAGCTTTGAAATCTTAGAAAGTTTACTTTTCTTCCTAGAGACACAGTTTCCTCCCTGTAATATGAAAGCTATAGCATCAACTTCAAAGGGTTGTTGAAAAACTTGGAATACACACACACACATGCACATACATATATACACACATACATGTATATAAACACACACATATATATACACATACAAATACACACACACATATATATGTATACACATATATACATGTACAAAATACACATATATCTGTGTGTATACATACATGCATATAATAGTGCCTGGCATATAGCAAAACAAATACATAATATTTTTACTATAATGTTTTCTTTTTCAGGCATTTTCCACATATTTCGTCTTTACAATAGCTTTGTAAAGTAGGTAGACTATTGTGCCAATTTGTTTTTCTCCTACATTTTTTGTCTTCCTGCCTCCTCATCTGCATTCTTCTTTCATTCTTGCTTCCATTCTTTCTATCAGCATGAGAAGAGCAAGAAACTATGCTAAGCTTTAGGCCTACAATGATAAATACAATTTTGTAACTGATTTAGAAGGCAAAAATCTAGTAGGAAAGAAAGGCACAGTGTTTGAAAATATTGAGAACAGAGCAGTGTGTTGCTTCATTTTATGGTCCTGTGGCTGGTCAGTGATAAGGGAGACTCAAATGTTCATGAATCATGACTTTCAGAAAGAATTAGTCCCTGTAAACCTCAAATGTAGGTAACCAAAACTTTTTTGGTTTTTTTATTTTGTTTTTTTTCTTGAGCCCCACCACTACCTACCCCCAGTAATTGGAATACTGGTATTACCTATGTGAGCAATATATGGTAAAGAGGTTATGTAATATTAAAAATACCTTTTAATTCCCAACATATTTGAGGAATATTATATTTTAGTAAATTGAAGTTATAATGCTATACTATCCACCTGAGTTTGTAGTGAAGTGTGAGCTGAATTCCATTTGCTTGAAGAGATAACTTATTCTCCTTTTTAAGATTCATCTTTCTGTGCATCTTTTATTCAGTTCAACTGAAGGACAGAATAGAATAAAACGAATAATGAGCTAGTAGCGCATAAGACTAACCCTTTTGAATAATAATAATAAAAAAGTACGTTTGCTCCCTTAGGTTATGTTTCAACAGAAAAGACATGTATTCATATAGTCAAAAAAGGATGTTAAGGGGTCTCTAAACAGCAAAATGAAAGATTCACAGTGAATTATTATTATAGAGGAAAGGAAATGTCTGGTTAACGCATGCAGGAAAGAAGTACAAAACAAAACTAACAGGAAAACTGGGTACTGCAGGCGTGTTACGGATTCAGGAATTATCATAAGAAAAAATGCAGCAATGAATTGAGATATTTGAGAACTTTTAACAGTAGGTCCTAATTCCTAATACCCAGTAGAGATTAATCAAACTATTGAGATGGAAAAGAACAGCAAATGGGCCACAGACAAAAATAGTTAATTCCTTATACAACAACACCCCCAACAGGGATTTGCTTAAACTTCAACCAAATGCAGATATTCTTAGTGTAGTAGATCGGCGGAAAACATGTAAGGCAAGATTTACAATCATCTGTATAAGAATTATTTAATTCTGAAGTCAGAAATATTATATGTTAAGTGTGGCTGTCAGTCTTCTCAGAACTGACATTTCTGTCAGTTTTTATAATGTAGGTTTTTAAGTTGAACATGACCTTCTGTAAAGGTATTCAGAAACTCACCGTCAAACTTTTAATATATCTAATAAACTGGATTATTCTTAATGGTTACTATATTAGTAAAAGTACTAGTACTTTATTGGTCCCAACAATAGGAATACTCTTAATGCTTACTTGTGTCAAAAGAAAGTAACTGACAGACACCTCACTCAAAAGTCTTCAGTGTATATAATTATTAATTCTTATGGAATGATACTATGCAAGATAAATTCCCTTCATGAAGGTCAAATGATCATTTAAAATATTAAAGGAAAGTCCAGGCCTCCCAGTTGTCATTTTACTGCCTGTTGATAACACTCTTTCTGTTAATGTTTCTTTTAGTGGCTATGAATGTGAATAATTTACAAATTATAACTAGGGAGAATATGCAAAAGAACAATAGTGTCTCCCGAAGTTAAATTAGAAAATAGCTGAGTTGATTGTGTAACTCTCCTAAAACAATTAATGCAGTGTTCTATTAAATCGCTTTTCATTTTAGAATGTCTAAAATGGGAAGAAAATTGAAACAGATATGAAATCTTAAGTAACTCAATTTTATGTAAATTTATGTATGAAACAAAAAGCAGAATGGCAATGAAATCTTCTGGGCTTTAATTTGATTTGAGGTCTGATACATATTTTGACCATCTTTCTTTCATGCAAAATACGAAAATACTCCAGATAGAACAAGTCATTGACTGCCTAAAGTACATCAATCAAATTGTTAACTTAGGATGTTTCTCAAGGGTATTGGCTCTTTGGTAGTCGTCAGAAATATAAATGGACAGTGTAGCGCGGGTGTGCTGTGCAATGGAGCAGAGAGGCATGGTATTTGATGTGCCATATTCCTTCATTTCAAACAATTAATTAATGGGCTGCTATATATCCTGTTTCTCAGGGGTCAGAGGTATTGTTAAGAATCCTCAATGTTGCCTGTTTAAATTAAAAAAGATGACAGACAGATGCATCTAGGGTGTTAAGCATAAAGAGAGGACAATGTCCTTGTGTCTCCAGAAAGCTAATGCCAAAGAATGTGAGCATCTAAACCCAAATGACTTAGTTCCCTTTGGTAAATTTTATTTATTAAATTTTAACAACATAAAGGAGAAAAATTAAAAGTAGTTAATTCTAAGAAAATAATTAATTCAATATATTTTGTCTGGAAAGCCATTTCTCTGAATCAGTTTTCTGATTAAACCACTTGTAGTTTAAGAAACAGAATATTTTAAAAATAAATCACATTTCTGACAAGAATGGTCTTGGCAGTCGTAGACTTTTCTCTTTTGCAAACCAAAATACATTGTTACAGTGAAAATTTAAGTGTTTGAACTAACATTTAGATGTTAGGGTATACATATATTTGGTTTATAAGAAAAGAAAATCAATAAGCTTAGGCCAGATAACATGTATTAAACAGGGCTCGGTTCAAAAAGAACTCTAATTTTATTAAATAGAAATATAATCTTAATATTTATGTAGAAAGCAACTTTTGCTTGGGCATATTTTAATCATTTTATTTTTTTTCCTTAACGCTATTATAAATTGAGATTCATTCTTTTCTTTTCTTTTTTCCCCTTTTATACTCAGGATCATTCAAAGATAAGCTACCTGATGAAAAAATAAAGGTTAATGCAATTCAACAACAAAATTAATGCTGCAAACATCTCTCTTCTATTTTAGACATTCTTCTAACTGCTGGAACTAATAAGATATGAATGATGAAGCTTATATTCTTCTAGGAATGATATATACTTCACACAAATATAAATAAAAAGCCTAGATAATTACAAATAAGTTATATGAATGAAGTTGACAGTAACTGAAAGAAGTCCGTTTAAATATGGTTGTCGGAAAGCCTCTACAGAAGGTGCCATCTAAACACAGATCCAAGGGATACCGGTAGACTAGCTGTACTAAGAACCATGGAGAGAGCGTTCTAGAGTGTACATGTTCAGAGGCCGAATAGAATGAATGAGTTAGACACATCTGGGAAACGAAAAAGAAGCCAATGTGAATGGAAAACAAGGACCGTTACTGTAGGCCATGAAAACATTTTCTCTTTCTCTCCCCCTCTCTCTGTTTTTTGTTTGTTTGTTTGTTTGTTTGTTTTGGTTTGGTTTGGTTTTTTTTTTTTTGAGACGGAGTCTCGCTGTGTTGCCCAGGCTGGAGTGCAGTGGCGCGATCTCGGCTCACTGCAAGCTCCGCCTCCCGGGTTCATGCCAGTCTCCTGCCTCAACCTCCCGAGTAGCTGGGACTACAGGCGCCGCCACCACGCCCGGATAATTTTTGTATTTTTAGTAGAGACGGGGTTTCACCATGTTGGCCAGGCTTGTGTGGAACCCTGACTTCAGGTGATCCGTCCGCCTCGGCCTCCCAAAGTGCTGGGACTACAGGCGCCCGCCACCACGCCCGGCTAATTTTTTTGTATTTTTAGTAGAGACGGGGTTTCACCATGTTAGCCAGGATAGTCTCGATCTCCTGACCTTGTGATCCGCCCGCCTCGGCCTCCCAAAGTGCTGGGATTACAGGCGTGAGCCATTGTGCCAAGACTCTTTCTCTCTTTTTTTTTTTTTTTCCTTTCTTCCCTAAGCACAGTGGTAGCCATTAGAGCATCTGAGAAGGGATGTGGGCAAGCCTGGTTTTAATTCTAAAGTTCCCTTCGGTTAATTTGTGACAAACTGGATTGTGAATGTGTTTCCATGTATCGTGGGAAGGAGAATATAGAGGTGGGAGTGAATAGCAAAAATACACATAAGAAGACTCTTTATGAAGTTTTTTGGATTATCTGTAAATATACACTATCACAACACTGAAAATTTATGCTGAAACTTTCATTCCAATCTATTTTATTTTTATTTTTATTTTTTCTTTTTTTTCCACTTCAAATGAATGAGCCTATTGTGAATTCTTTTGAAAGGCTTTGTATTTTTGTCTCTGTGATACTTCGTGGCTTCATATTTGTTTACTTTTACTATTTGGTTGTTTAGTTATATGTATTTTGTTCCACTAAAATGTCCCATTCCGAACAGGTATGCCTTCTGAACAATTAATGCAGTGCACCTAATGTACATCAATCAAATTGCTAACCGATGATGTTTCTCAAGGGTATTTGTTCCTTGGTAGTTGTCAGAAATATAAATGGTATATTTCAGTATATATCACAGTATACATTTTCTCATGTAATCCCCACAATAACTCAGCAAAGTGTGGCTTATTATCACTTCAACAGAAGAGTCAGAAAGTTTAAGCTACTGCATCTGGGTAACTATGCAAAGCCGTAGAGAAGAGTGGAAAAGACACACAATTCAGATTTGAAATATTTTTTTTCAGTTCTTTGCTGTTCACTTTATTACATCAACATACAAATAATAATATATAAATGGATTTGTCTTACAATTGTATTTTCAGGTTATATATTTAGAACCTGCTCATTAATGTTTGTGTTCATGTGAAATAAATTTTGAAACCATAGAATTGTCATTCTATTTGATTAGTGATAAATTTCCATCTCCCTGCCTTCCTCCTTCTCCCTCCTTCCCTCCCTCCCTTGTCCCTTCCCTCCCTCCCTCCCTCCCTCCCTCCCTCCCTTCCTTCCTTCCTTCCTTCCTTCCTCTTATCACAGACCAAATGGCACTTTTACTTGTAGAGAAATTTTAATAAGCAAGGGGATATTTTTTAAATGAGATTCTAGACTTTATATGGATAATCAAGTTTAGAAATTCTTCTCATAATTATTTTTCTTTTTTACTATTAACATTAATATTTTCATACAAATATTCAGTGGGAATTTTTTTTGTATAAAGTTCCATGAATTTCAACACATGTAGAGATTCACGTGACCAGTAGCACAGTCAGGATACAGCAGTTACGCCATTCCATAAACTCCCTCTTTGCTATTCCTTTTCAGTGGCACACTTTCCACGCGTCCTTAATTCTTACAATCACAGACTGATTCTCCCTCACTATAGTTTTGCCTTTTCAGGAATATCATATAAATGGAAACATATAGTATGTGACTTCTTGAGAATGGATTTTTTTCATTCAGCATATGTCTTTGATATCCACCCAAGTTGTATGAATAACTATCCCATTCCTTTTTACTGCTGTTATATTCTATTATATGGATGTACCAAAGTGTGTATCTCCTTTTACCCACTAATGGGCATTTCAGTAGCTTCTAGTTGTTTGCAAATATAAAAAGAAAGTTTTATAAGGATTTGTGTACTGTTTTTTACATGAACAAAAGTTTTTATATTTCTTGAGTGAATACCAAAGAATGAAGTTCCCACATATGTGTGTCTCTTTATAAAATACTGCCTAACATTTTTTTTTTCCAGAGTGGCTGTACTAGTTTTTAGTCCACCAGATTTGCATGAGAGATTGAGTTGCTCTGAAGCCTTGTCAACACTTGGTATTTTCAGCATTTTTCACTTAAACCACTCAGGCAGTTATGTAGCAATATTCTTTTATAGTTTCAACTTACATTTCTGTATTGGCTAATTATGTGCTAATTTATATTTCTCTATTGGCTTTATTCACTTAATATCATTTTCATAGATATTTTTAAATTTTTTATAAAGTTCAGTTTATCATTACACATTTTTCTTCTCATATCTAAACACTATTTGCCTAACCTCAGCTCACAAATATATTTTACTACCTTTTCTTGTAAGTGTTTTATAGTTTGCGGTTTTAAATTAAGGTCTTTGATTCATTTTGAGTTCATTTTATATACAGCTTGTGTTTTTGTGTAGAAATTCATTTTTATTTGGATGTCCAATTGCTCCAGCCTGACTTGTTGAAATCGTCTTTGTACTTTTATCAAAAATTAAATGGCCATATTTGAATGTGTCTACATTTGGATTCTCCACACTTCCACTGATGTATGTGTTTATCCTTTTGCCAATACAGCACTGTCCTCATGTATAGTAAGTCTTAAAATTAGCAACTGTCATTCCTCCAATTTCATTTTATTTTTCAAACTTCCTTTGGCTGTTTTTGTTTCTTCGACTTTCTTTAAGCATTTAAAAACTGGCATATATAAACCTACAAAAAAAATCCTGCATGAAGTTTTATTAAAATTAAGTTAAATCTATAGATCCACTTGGAGAAAATTGATATCTTTACTAATCTGAATCATAAGTTCATGAACTCAGTTTATCTTTACATGTATTTATGTTTTTCTGGATCTTTTCCATCAGTATTTTATAGTATGCATCATACAGATCTTGTAGAAACCTTTTTGACTTACCTAATTATTTCATTTTTGTAGCTATTGAAAATTTGTTTTATGATATGGGTATTCAATTACTTATTGCTAGTTTATATAAATGTATATTTTTTGTTGTATAGGACTTGTGTACTGAAACATTCCTAATCCCACATGTTTGTATGTTGAGTGTTTTGTAGATTTTTTGGGATTTTCAATGTAAATAATCCCATCATCTGTAAATAGGGACAAATTTCCATTTTTAATTTTATTTTAGTTTTTTTGCCTTGTTGTATTATCTAGGACATTCCAGTATGATGCTGATTAGAAATGTTGAGAATGGATACACATGCCTTGTTTCTAATCATGAGTGGGAAGTTGCATTGTCTTTCACCATTCAGTAAAATGTTAGCTGTAATTGTTTTTGTGGTTGCTTTTTGTTTTGTTTTGTTTGGTAGATATCTTTTACTAGGTAGAAGATGTCTTCTCTATTCTTACCATGAAGAGAGTTTTATTATTGAGGTACAATGAATATTATTTTTTCTGCATCAGTTAATATGATACATTGATTTTTTTTAGGCTGTTAATGGTGTATTGCATTGATTTATCTTCATATATGAATCCAACCTTCCATTGGCAGTATAAACCTCACTTGGCCATTACATGTTTGTATGTGTGTGTTTGCATCTGTATATATGTATATGCATATATTTATATATATATGTGTGTATAATATACAACTTTGATTTGTTAACATTTTTCTCATAACTTTTGCATCTATATTCGTGAAAGATAATTGCTTCCAGTTTTCTCTTCCTGTTCTCTTTTTGCCTGGTTTTGATGTCAGGATAAGACTGGCTTCGAAAAATGATTTGGGAAGTGTTCACTTCCCTCTGTTGTCCAAAAGAAATGTGTAAATTTGGCATTATTTTGTCTTCTGAAACTCATGTGAAAGTATTTCTGGGCCTAAAGATTATTTTTAAAGATTTTGAACTAAAAATTAAGTTTATTTAAGAGTTATAGAAATATTCAGATTATCTCTTTTTGTTGGGTGAGTTTTGAAATTTTTTGTTTTCTGAAAAATTGCTTTATTTTTATTTTATTTATTTGTTTTAATTTTTAAGTTATACTTTAAGTTCTGGGGTACTTGTGCAGAATGTGCAGTTTTGTCACATAGGTATACATGTGCTATGGTGGTTTGCTGCACCCATCAACCTGTCACCTACATTAGGTATTTCTCCTAATGCTATCCCTCCCCTAGCCCCCCACCCACCGACAGGCCCCAGTGTGTGGTGTTCCCCTCCCTGTGTCCGTGTGTTCTCCTTGTTCAACTCCCACTATGAGTGAGAACATGTGGTGTTTGTTTTTCTGTTCTTGTGATAGTTTGCTGAGAATGATGATTTCCACCTTCATCCATGTCCCTACAAAGGACATGAACTCATCCTTATTTATGGCTGTATAGTATTCCATGGTGTATGTGTGCCACATTTTCTTTATCCAGTTTATCATTGATGGGCATTTGGGTTAGTTCCAAGTCTTTGCTATTGTAAATAGTACCGCAATAAACATGCATGTGCATGTGTCTTTATAGTAGAATGATTTATAATCCTTTGGGTATATACCCAGTGATGGGATTGCTGGGTCAAATGGCATTTCTAGTTCTAGATCCTTGAGGAATCACCACACTGTCTTCCACAATGGTTGAACTAATTTACATTCCCACCAACAGTGTAAAAGTATTCCTATTTCTCCATATCCTCTCCAGCATCTGTTGTTTCCTGACTTTTTAATGATTGCCAATCTAACTGATGTGAAATGCTATCTCACTAGAGTTTTGATTTGCATTTCTCTAATGACTAGTGATGAAGAGCATTTTTTTATATGTTTGTTGGCTGCATAAATGTCTTCTTTTGAGAAGTGTCTGTTCATATCCTTTGCCCACTTTTCGATGGGGTCGTTTGTTTTTTTTTTCTTGTAAATTTGTTTAAGTTCTTTGTGGATTCTGGATATTAGCCCTTTGTCAGATGGATAGATTGCAAAAATTTTCTCCCATTCTGTAGGTTGTCTGTTCACTCTGATGATAGTTTCTTTTGCTGTGTAGAAGCTTTAGTTTAATTAGATCCCATTTCTCAATCTTGGCTTTTGTTGCCATTGCTTTTGGTGTTTTAGACATGAAGTCTTTGCCCATGCCTATGTTCTGAATGGTGTTGCCCAGGTTTTCTTCTAGGATTTTTATGGTTTTAGGTCTTATGTTTAAGTCTTTAATCCATCTTAAGTTGCTTTTTATGTAAGATTTAAGGAAGGGGTCCAGTTTCAGTATTCTGAATATGGCTAGCCAGTTTTCCCAACACCATTTTTTATATAGGGAATCTTTTCCCCATTGCTTCCTTGTGTCAGGTTTGTCAAATATAAGTTGGTTGTAGATGTGTGGTGTTATTTCTGAGGGCTCTGTTCTGTTCCAGTGGTCTATATATCTGTTTTGGTGCCAGTGTCATGCTGTTTTGGTTACTGTAGCCTTGTAGTATAGTTTGAAGTCAGGTAGTCTGATGCCTCCAGCTTTGTTCTTTTTGCTTAGGATTTTCTTGGCAATGCAGACTCTTCTCTGGTTCCACATGAACTTTAAAGTAGTTTTTTCCAATTCTGTGAAGAAAGTCATTGGTAGCTTGATGGGGATGGCATTGAATCTATAAATTACCTTGGGCAGTATGGCCATTTTCATGATATTTATTCTTCCTATCCATGATCTTGGAATGTGTTTCCATTTGTTGGTGTCCTCTCTTATTTACTTGAGCAGTGGTTTGTAGTTCTCCTTGTAGAGGTCCTTCGCATCCCTTGTAAGTTGTTTTCCTAGGTATTTTATTCTCTTTGAAGCAATTGTGAATGGGAGTTCACTCATGATTTGGCTCTCTGGTTGTCTGTTATTGGTGTATAGGAATGCTTGTGATTTTTGCACATTGATTTTGTATGCTGAGACTTTGCTGAAGTTGCTTATCAGCTTAAGGAGATTTTAGGCTGAGACGATGGGGTTTTCTAAATATACAGTCATGTCATCTGCAAACAGAGATAATTTGATTTCCTCTCTTCCTATTTGAATACCCTTTATTGCTTACTCTTGCCTGATTGCCCTGGCCAGAACTTCCAATACTACGTTGAATAGGAATGGTGAGAGAGAGCATCCTTGTCTTGTGCCAGTTTTCAAAGGGAATGTTTCCAATTTTTGCCCATTCAGTATGATATTGGCTGTGGGTTTGCCATAAATAGCTCTTATGATTTTGAGATACATTCTATCGATACCTAGTTTATTGAGAGTTTTTAGCATGAAGGGGTGTTGAATTTTATCAAAGGCCTTTTCTGCATCTATTGAGATAATCATGTGTTTTTTGTCATAGCTTCTGTTTATCTGATGGATTACGTTTATTGATTTGCTTATGTTGAACCAGGCTTGCATCCCAGGGAGGAAGCCGACTTGATCGTGGTGGATAAACTTTTTGATGTGCTGCTGGAATCGGTTTGCCGGTATTTTATTGAGGATTTTCTCATCGATGTTCATCAGGGGTATTAGCCTGCAATTTTCCTTTTTTGTTGTGTCTCTGCCAGGTTTTGGTATCAGGATGATGCTGGCCTCATAAAATGAGTTGGGGAGAATTCTCTCTTTTTCCATTGTTTGGAATAGTTTCAGAAGGAATGTTACCAGCTCTTCTTTGTACCTCTGGTAGAATTTGGCTGTGAATCCGTCTGATCCTGGACTTGTTTTGGTTGGTAGGCTAATAATTACTGCCTCAATTTCAGAACTTGTTATTGGTCTATTCAGGGATTCGACTTCTTCCTGTTTTAGATTTGGGAGGGTGTATGTGTCCAGGAATTTATCCATTTCTTCTGGGTTTTCTGGTTTATTTGCATAGAGGTATTTATGGTATTCTCTGATGGTAGTTTGTGTTTCTGTGGGATCAGTGTTAATATCCTCTATATCATTTTTTGTTGCATCTATTTGATTATTCTCTCTTTTCTTCTTTATCAGTCTGGTTAACTGTCTATTTTGTTGATCTTTTCAAAAAACGAGCTCCTGGATTCATTGATTTTTTTTAAGGGTTTTTGTGTCTTTATCTCCTGCAATTCTGCTCTGACGTTAGTTATTTCTTGTCTTCTGCTAGCTTTTGAATTTGTTTGCTGTTGCTTCTCTAGTTCTTTTAATTTTGATGTTAGGGTGTCAATTTTAGATCTTTCCTGCTTTCTCTTGTGGGCATTTAGTGCTATAAATTTCCCCCTACGCACTGCTTTAAATGTTTCCCAGAGATTCTGGTACCTTGTGTCTTCATTCTCATTGGTTTCAAAGACCATCTTCATTTCTGCCTTCATTTCGATATTTACCCAGTGGTCATTCAGGAGCAGCTTGTTCAGTTTCCATGTAGTTGTGCGGTTTTGAGTGAGTTTCTTAATCTTGAGTTCTAATTTGATTGCACTGTGGTCTGAGTGACTGTTTGTTATGATTTCCATTATTTTGCATTTGCTGAGGAGTGCTTTACTTCCAATTATGTGTTCAATTTTAGAATAAGTGCAATGTGGTGCTGAGAAGAATGTATATTCTGTTGATTTGGGGTGGAGAGTTCTATGGATGTCTATTAGTTCTGCTTGGTCCAGGGCTGAGTTCAAGTCTTGAATATCCTTGTTAATTTTCTATCTCATTGATCTGCCTAATATTGACAGTGGGGTGTTAGAGTCTCCCACTATTATTGTGTGGGAGTCTAAGTCTCTTTGGAGGTCTCTAAGAAGTTGCTTTATGAATCTAGGTGCTCCTGTAATGGTAAAGGGATCAATGCAGCAAGAAGTGCTTTATTTTTAATAGTTTTTAAAAATTCATTTGGGTAGAAATGTTCATGGTATGTACTTACTAGTCTTTAAATATCTGCAGTGTTCAGGTAGTGATATTCTCTCTTTTATTTCTAATATTGTTAATTATTATCTCATTATTTTGTCCATCTTACTAGCAATTTGCCCATTTTTTGCTACCATTAAGAAATTTTGTTTCATTGATTTTTCTTTGTTTATTTTAAATTTTGTAAATCTCTGCTCTCATGTGTATTGTTTTCTCCTGTGATTTTTTTGGTTTATTTTACTGATGTTATCCTACTCTCTTACTATAAAGCTGATAATATTACTTAAAAAATGTATTCTTCCCTGTTCTAAACTGTATATTTAGATTGCTGTATATATCCAAATCTATACTGCTTTAGCTATATCCCATAAAACTTTATGTATTGTATTTTCATTTTTATCAGATCAAAATATTTAATAATATACATTGAAACTTCCTTATTATTCTATGCATTATTTAGTAGTGTTGATTAATTTTTTAGATAAATGATATTCCTGTTATTATGACATTGATTTCCAGTTTAATTTGAGTACAGTCAGAGAAGATTTTTGGTATGATTTCAATTATTTTAAGTTTATCATAGTTTATTCCATTACATACAATATTGTCTATCTTGGAGAATGTGTATTTGAAAAGAATCTGTATTCTACTCTTGTTGAATGCAGTGTATCATAAATGTAAACTAAGTCCAAGTGGTTGACTTTTTTTATCAATCTTTTCTATTCTTGAATGTTGATTTTTTTGTCTACTAGTTCCACTGATTAAAAGCTCAGTGTTGAAGTCTCCAAATATATTTGCAGACTTATTTACTTCTTTTAATTTTTGCTTTCTGTATTTTAAGATTCTTCTGTTCTATTTACACATAGGGTTTTTTGCCATCTTGAAACATTAACTCTTTTATTATTATTCAATTATGTTCTTTATCTCTTATAATTCACTTTCAGCAATTCATTTAGAAAAGATCTGCTGGCATACAATTCTTACTTTTTTTAAACCTTATTCCTTCATTCAACTTCTTTAATGAAGGATATTTTTGCTGAATGTAGCATTCTGGGTTATAAGTTCTTTTCATTTAGATATGTTAAAACATTAATTTTCAGCTGATTGTAATTTTTCCAGGTCTGTATTTCCTTGGGGTATTTTGTTTAGGGTTTTCTGAGTTTCTTGTAGGTTTATGTGCTTTTTATTTATTTGTCAAATTAGATATTTTCAGCTTACAGATGTTATACATTTCTTTTCTTTTTTTTTTCTTTTCTTTTTTTTTTTGACAGAGTCTCACTCTGTTGCCCAGGCTGGAGTGCAGTGGCGTGATCTCGGCTCACCACAACCTCCACCTCCCAGGTTCAAGCGATTCTCTTGCCTCAGCCTCCCAAGTACCTGGGAGTACAGGTGCATGCCACCACACCCGGTTATTTTTTTAATATTTATTTTTATTAGTATTATTATTATTATTTTGGAGATGGAGTCTCGCTCTGTCGCCCAGGCTGGAGTGCAGTAGTGCAATCTCATCTTACTGCAAGGTCCGCCTCCCTGGTTCACGCCATTCTCCTGCCTCAGCCTCCTGAGTAGCTGGGACTACAGATGCCTGCCACAACGCCTGGCTAATTTTTTGTATTTCTAGTAGAGACGGGGTTTCACCTCGTTAGCCAGGATGGTCTCGATCTCCTGACCTCGTGATCAGCCTGCCTCGGCCTCCCAAAGTGCTAGGATTACAGATGTGAGCCACCGCACCTGGCTAGATGTTATATATTTCTATATATATCACCTAAAGCATATACTTACACATACATATTTGTAATCATATATCTGAAAGTTGGCAGAATAACAGAGGTGATGGGATTTAATTATCATTTTACATTAATTGTCTATTCTTTTAATGGAGAGTTATATTATGATGAATGACAAAATACTTTCTTAATTAATAAAATATTTGTTTCTTCCGTAGTGTGTATATAGTATATATATGATGTTTTTATATTAGAAAAATCCCTAATTATGTTTTTATTAACATGACTTCACATTATGACTTTACATAAATTCCTTTGAAAATAATTCTAAATTACACAGTTTGAGTCATTGTAGTTCTTTCATTTTATAAATTAAATTTGTTTTAGCAAAGCTGCTTTTACAGAAGTAGTAGCAATTTTAGTTACTTTTATGAATGTCACTAAATTTCTTACCATGTGCAATTGTATGTTTTTTCAGCTATCCATAGGAATTACAAATAAAATGCACACGAGTTTACAACGTTTTATTATATTATGTATATGGATGGGTAATATCTACCTATATTCATGATAATTGATAACTTATAACTCTAATTAAAATGTCAAGAATTTCAAAGATACAAATAAGCAAAGTAAGTCATCCACAACTTTATTTCTGAGACCATATATAGTCCTTTTGTTCAGATTGTGTCTATTTTATGAGCTTGTCATGATTAAAAAATGAAATAAGGAATTACAAACGTTATTAAATACAAGAAATATTTCTTCATGCTCTGTACGTTTAATATTTCATACTGTGAAATCCTGTTCAGAACAGAGATAAAGTAAGTCATATTAAATTTGCTGTGAGCTTGACCCTCTCAATCTCTGACATTCTTCATTTTACCAACAAAGAAAAGTGAAGGAGCAGAAAATGTAGCATAACATTGATCATTTTATCACTGTCAACTGCAAACAAAATCATTTACTTAGAATAGATTCTTCAAAAATACTACTTATTATAGTTTTAATCTAGCCTATTAATGTCTAATTGCAACAAAATATTTCCTGATATTAGAGCTATAGATCAGGTGGGGAAAACATGAATTTTTATGTTAATTAGTTTTAAATATTATGCTTGAAATCTTTCCAAACATAATAAAATTCAATTAATTTAATGAATATTATTGGTGTCCAGTTTTCATTTGAATGGTTACTTATAATTCTTACTTTATCCAATGATATAAAATGACCTTACTATTTTATAGCTGATAAGGCATTTTTAAAAGTGGTGAAGGCTACTGTAGAAGATAACATTTCCGCATCAAATGTTCTTATGGCTAAACACTCACTTCAATTTCCAGTTTGATTAAAACTCATTATAATAAGGAACTCTAATCATTAAAACTTTATTTTAATGATTGGAGTAAAAGCATTAAAGATAGTTGTAGGAACTTAAGCATTTTAAAAATATGGGTAATTATGAATAAAATATGGGTAATAAAAAATAATACAATTTCAGTAATTTGTATTATCTAAATTATATTAATAAAATATGGGTAATTTTTGCTCCTTAAAATGTGATATCATTTAATTTAATTTAGATAGCATATATACACTTATAAAATCTTGGGAATAATTTGATCTATGAATACATAAATCAAACAGATTTAAATATATCTATATTTACATTTAATAAGATGCGAACAAAACCTTTCATAAATGAATTTTCTCAGAATATAAAGACCTTGTTCATTTCAATGAGTTTCTGATAAACATAGACTGTATATATTCAGTGTTTCTGTCCCTGCATAATTGCTTGTGTTTCTTCTTAAATAGATGTTTATTGAATATTGATCTATATATTTTTGTGTAGTTTTAAAATATTGGTTCATCATGGCATATACAATCTGCACCTAAAATACATAATTATATAATATGTTATATATTAAATATAGTTAAGCCTATTTTTTGACATATATAAATATACCACAAAAAAACTGTTTTATTTAAACAACAAAAAATAAGGAAACTGTTGTTGACATTATAGGTCCTTTTTTCGTGTTTTATCTTTTCTTAATTCAACACGGATATTTTGTACATATTTATCTATGCCTTCATGAAGAGAGAAACAAGGAAGAGACTCTCCAAGATGTCTGTGGTAGTGGCCCTCACTTTTGAGATTTAAATATTTTGGTTCAATTCCTCAGGCAAGCCTAATGTCTGCCATTACATTGTAAAATGCATTGTACAAAATACATTATACAAAATACAATACAAAATACATTGTAAAAGTTGTTGGTATTAAGAAAAGCAGGGAACAAAAATAAGTGATGGACTCCAAATTTGTCTCAGTGGGAAACAAAGGAAAGAACTTCAAAATGATTTGAAACTCAAGTGAGGATGAGTAAACCAAAACGCTAAAACTGAAGGCAGAGGTCACCTGAAAACATGATCTCTGCTCACTGCAACCCCGCCCTGCCTCATGGATTAAGCGATTCTCATACCTCAGCTTCCCAGGTAGCTGGGATTAAAGGCATGCACCACAATGATGCTACTTTTAAATTGTATTTTTAAATTTCTATTATTTTATTGCTGTTACATTAAAACATACTTGAATTTTATATTTTGATCTTTCATCTTGTGATCTTAAGTTCACTTGCTATGTCTGATAACTTTTTAAAAATTTCTTAAAATTTCAGAATACTCAGTAACGTCTTCTATAAACTAAGTTTTCTCTTTCTTGTTTATATGCTATCACTTTTTTCCCTTCCTTTTTCTTTTTTATTGTATTTTTTTTATGTAGAACTTCAAGAAAATATTGACTTTTAATAGCCAAAGTGGATATTTTGTTTTCTTCCCCGATTTTTAATTAAAACCACTATATTTAATACTAGAAATGGGGTTTTTGTAGATGCCATCTCTCTGATTGAAAAGCGTTTCATTCTAATTTTTTGAGAGTTTTCATTATAATTGGAGGTTACATTTTGTCAAATGATTTTGCTGTGTCTGTTGAGATTATGATACAGTTACTCTGACTTTTAGAAAATTAAACTAGCCTTGCATTCCTATCCTCCTGATAGGCATGTAGCATCCTTTTCATATATGCTTATGTTTCATTTGTTAATATTTTAAAAGATTTTTTCATCTGTGTTAATGGAGAATATTATATTTGCTATTTTCGTAATATATCTTTTTCCTAGTTAGATCAATAAACTAAACCTCTAATTTTTTATGTTGGAAGAATTTTTTTATTAAAATTGAATTTATTATGTATCTATTGGACCATTTGTGTCTCATCAGTCAGTTTTTTAATCTGTATCTATTGAAGAATGCTCGTTTTGTTGATTTTATTGGCATAAAATTTTTTATAATAATTTTTTAATTTTAGATCTATTGATAATTTGGAAGGACTAGCTTTTGATTTCATTAATTTTCTCCATTGTTTGTCCATTTACTGCTTCATTGGTTATGCTTTATTTTAATAATTTTTTTGTACTTATTTGAGATTCATTTGCTTTTCTCACTTACTGTTGCAGGAAGTCAGATCATTGATTTCAGATGTTTCTTCTACTCCAATACATTTATTTTAAGCTCTCATATTAATAACCTTTGAGTATAACTTTAGCACATTTTACAAATTTTTATACACTATAATTTTTTTCATTTATGACAAAGTACTTTTTTTTTGTGAAATAATCTTTGAAACATGAGTTATTTAGTGGTGTGTTGTTCAGTGTCTTCATATGGTGAGAATTTTAAGGTATTGTTCCATATTAATTTTCTAAAATATTTATATTTAGGTAAAGAAATATACCCTGAAAAATTAGATCTTGGTAAATTTATTGAGACCTATGATTTTTGGGACTCATGTATGGTCATTTTCATGAATATTCCACATGCATTTGCATGTGTGTTCTCTTATTACTGAATAAAATAAAGATGACTGTGAAAGTTGAATGAAAAGTTAAATCTTCAGATCTCTTTCACACTCTGGATGAGGAAATATAAACTGGTAAATACCTTTTACCCAACTCTAGCCAGAGACTGAAGATTGAGTTTGGGGAGTGTATGAAAATAGGCTTTCTAGACTGGAGAACATCAAGCACGGTTGATGACTGTGGAAGCAAGATGACATGAAGATAAGTGAGTATAAGCATCTGGGATGCTGAAACATGCAGCCAATTTCATACACTCAAGTTCCAAACCATGAACACAACGGTGTTATTTTTCATACTGGGTACTGAAAAATTCTTCTGTAAGTATACTGATCACCCATCAGGCAAAAACTAGACTATCACCCTACAGAGGAAATCCCATCAACAAACTCCCAACAAACTTTCAGTACTCCAATTTTCAAAATAACAGACAAACAAATGGAAGAACATTACATGCTCATGGGTAGGAAGAATCAATATCGTGAAAAAGGCCATACTGCCCAAGGTAATTTATAGATTCAATACCATCCCCATCAAGCTACCAATGGCTTTCTTCACAGAATTGGAAAAAACTACTTTAAAGTTCATATGGAACTAAAAAAGAGCCCACATCGCCAAGTCAATCCTAAGCCAAAAGAACAAAGCTGGAGGCATCATGCTACCTGACTTAAAACTATACTACAAGGCTACAGTAACCAAAACAGCATGGTACTGGTACCAAAACAGAGATATAGACCAGTGGAACAGAACAGAGCCCTCAGAAATAACGCTGCATATCTACAACCATCTGATCTTTGACAAACTTGACAAAAACAAGAAGCAGGGAAATGATTACCTATTTAATAAATGGTGCTGGGAAAACTGGCTAGCCATATGTAGAAAGCTGAAACTGGATCCCTTCCTTACACCTTATACAAAAATTAATTCAAGATGGATTAAAGACTTAAGTGTTAGACCTAAAACCATAAAAACCCTAAAAGAAAACCTAGGCAATACCATTCAGGACATATGCATGGGCAGGGACTTCATGTCTAAAACACCAAAAGCAATGGCAACAAAAGCCAAAATTGACAAATGGGATCTAACTAAACTAAAGAGCTTCTGCACAGCAAAAGAAACTACCATCAGAGTGAACAGGCAACCTACAGAATGGGAGAAAATTTTTGCAAGCTACTCATCTGACAAAGGGCTAATATCCAGAATCTACAATGAACTCCAACAAATTTACAACAAAAAACAAACAACCCCATCAAAAAGTGGGTGAAGGATGTGAACAGACACTTCTCAAAAGAAGACATTTATGCAGCCAAAAGACACATGAAAAAATGCTCATCATCACTGGCCATCAGAGAAATGCAAATCAAAACCACAATGAGACACCATCTCACACCAGTTAGAATGGTGATCATTAAAAAGTCAGGAAACAACAGGTGCTGGAGAGGATGTGGAGAAATAGGAACACTCTTACACTGTTGGTGGGACTGTAAACTAGTTCAACCATTGTGGAAGTCAGTGTGGTGATTCCTCAGGGATCTAGAACTAGAAATACCATTTGACCCAGCAATCCCATTACTGGTTATATACCCAAAGGATTATAAATCATGCTGCTATAAAGACACATGCACACATATGTTTATTGTGGCACTATTCACAATAACAAAGACTTGGAACCAACCCAAATGTCCAACAATGATAGACTGGATTAAGAAAATGTGGCACATATACACCATGGAATACTATGCAGCTATAAAAAATGATGAGTTCATGTCCTTTGTAGGGACATGGATGAAGCTGGAAACCATCATTCTCAGCAAACTATCACAAGGACAAAAAAACAGACACTGCATGTTCTCACTTATAGGTGGGAATTGAACAATGAGAACACATGGACACAGGAAGGGGAACATCACACACTGGGGCCTGTTGTTGGGTGGGGGGACGGGGGAGGGATAGCATTAGGAGAGATACCTAATGTAAATGACGAGTTAATGGGTGCAGCACACCAACATGGCATATATATACACATATGTAACTAACCTGCACCTTGTGCACATGTACCCTAAAACTTAAAGTATAATAAACAAAAATAACAGACACAATTCATTACCTGTCTTAATACATCTTTGACATGAATGGAACAGATGGATTAAAAATAGCAACTTCAAGGCAACAGGAACCTCTACAGATGAAGTAAAACCCCAAAAATGAAGAAATTCTTTATAATATTCTTGAAGAAATGAGGAACTATATCCTAAAAACAAGACAAAGATAGCATTATAATATGCAGAGAAAGGAAAAGAACTCTTAGAAATAAACATATATATACACAGAGGCAGATATGAACAACTGAAAGTAATGTTTGAAATGTAAATTTGGAAAAATCTCCCAAAAAGTTTCCAAAGAGAAAAAAAAACACAAATATAAAACATTAGCCAATCATGTAACTTTCAAAGCTGTATGATATCTGAATAATAAGGTATAGGCATGCCCTACTTCATGCACTACTTCATGGAATATTCCATGCTATATAATAATGATAACAAAAAGAGACAGGCGTCTATTAAAACTGAAATGACCAATGGCTCATTATTTGGTTTTTATATAAATTCTTACTTTTTTCAAATTATAAAAAAGAATTAACTAGAGTGTGGTGAGATAGTTTTTATTTCTTAAGTGAAAATAATTTATTTAATATATAAGTTGCATATATAAATTTGAATTGTATCTTTAATTATATATGCATGTTTTTGTTATAAAAGTGATAATTTTGTTAAATATATATGTAACATTTATAGTCTTATTTTGTTTTGTATGCAGCAAAGATCCATTTAGAACTTATAATATGCCAGGCATGGTGTTAGAATTTTAATTTGAACACGTAATTTGAACACAAAATTTAAGACATATTCCCTGCAAGGTAGGTATTCTTTTAATGTTCCTATCTAATTGATATGGGAAGTGAAACAGAGAGAGGTTGTGTCACTTGCTGTGACCACCAAACAAGAAAATGGTGAATTCAGATTCAACACCAGGCAATCAGACGTCAGAACTCATGCTTTTGGTCACAAAGATATTCTGCGAAAAAAATAGCTCTAGGAAAAACAGCTCTATCCGTAACTGATTCTGTGGTTTGCTTTTTTTTTTTGCAAAATCAATTTACAATGGCTATATCCTTATTACGTTCTTTCTTGAGGTGTTATTTTTTAAAACGGGAAGAAAATACTGAATTTGATATATACTTAATTCCATTTTATAATGTTTGAAATATTTTATTTGACTTACCTATAAATCTGAAATGTATTTGCTACCTTGCATAAAATAGTTTTTTACATTTACTGAATAGTTATTCATTGAATGACCTTTTTATTCTCTTAATGCTATTTGAATGCTATTTGATGCTCTCTTTTTCATTCATACAGATAATTTATTCCTGTGGAAATGCCCATTCCATTGCTTTCACTATTCTTAAGCCATTACTGATGTTTTATCATGACCAGCCTGTCTCTTTTTATAGAAAATGTATTATATATTTGCTATTTATTTTAGTCATATAATTTTTAGAAACATTTTTCCAAGTTCCAAAAACATACTACTGGTATTTTATTTTAAATTCACATAAACTATAAAGTAATTCAAACAATGGGCATGTATAAAAAATATTTTTATAGGCAAGAATATGGCATATATATCCATTAGTATATGTAAAATAGCCCATGCATTAGTTTATTAAATGTTGAAAAAAAAGTAAAAACCTGCTGGGAGAGCAGTCAGGAGCAACCTGCAGACCCTTGCTTAGTTGCGTAAGAGCTTGCCTTGGGCCAGCAACATTTTCTCATGTGGAGATAAGGAGTTGTGTGCTGGACGTATCACCTTTTGGAAGTGTATCTTTCCCTATTCTGGACTTGATGTGCATTTCTTTAATTTGCTTAGAAGCATGTGAATCAAATAGCACCTGCCCAACCTCACTGCTATGTCTGTTCCCAGTGGAGAGGGAACAGGGTCCCTCACCTGCAGCACAAGAGGGGTGTGTGCAGATAGTCTCCTTGTGTTGGCTGTGGAATGAGACCCACGGGCCATAGGGGATGGATACTCACTGTTTAAGCCGAGCCCTCGCTGTCTCTCTGTTGGAGTAAATCATTGTCCCATCCAGTGCCTATATGCATCTTCTTACTTGCATATCACACAGTGGCTTGACATCCTGGGACTGCTGCTCCTGGCGATAACCATTGCCATGCTTTTTGCTCTCTTTCCCTCAGTGGGACTTCTCCTCTGAAGGTGGTAACAAGTGTCACTTGCTCAATAGAAGCTTAATAGTAGCCACTATTAGACCCATTTTGTGGTGAAGAATTATTTTAAAAAGTATTTATAACTGTCTCATATCACCAAGCTATTAAGAAGTGGCTAATAGCATCAAGTTAATTACTTTTTGACACCAAAGTTTATACCTGTAGTCATCATGTTTCCTTTTTTTTTTTCTATCATTGTCATTAATATATTGTTGATTTTACCTTTCCACAATGTTATGGCTACTGTGTGTATAGTATCTATATTTTTTTTTTATTAAAGCATGCTGATTTAGGAGACATTAATAGGTAGATATCAAGGATAACAAATTCACATTGGGCCAAGAGAAACTAGAGAGCATCCATTAATATTTATATTTCCTGAACAATGATTAGCCTAGGAATTTTGTTACTTAGTAACATGGAAGATTCTTGATTCATTTACACTTGAAATGCAATCATTTAAATTAGTTCAGACAGATACCTAAGACACCTGTCTTTTTTTAACCTTACAAAAATAAGATTGGATTGCCCATCAAATTGCTCCTGTCTTATATGAAATTACTAATCCCAAATCTAAAGAGAGTGATTTATGTAAGTAAGGCAGTTTAAAAGAGAATAAAATATGAACAGCGAGACAAAATGAAAGTATAAAATTGTGCACACGTTTTACAAAGAGATAAAAAGGTCAAGAGTTTTCCTGGAAAGAACAGTAAAACCCCTGCAGTAATATGTTCCAATCCATAAGCTATAATTTCACAACAATGCCATAAAATATAATATGACTCATCAATCAGAATAGAATTTTTTGAATTAATTACACATAAATTCAAAAAGTTTTAGAAAATGGTATTGCATTGAACTATTTTTTCTTAATCATTATTATCAGTACATGCAAAGACAGGTTATATTACCATTCTCTAATTAAAATATTACCAACAAATGCAAATAATACTTCAAGGGAAGATCACAAATATAGTTGGAAAGGATCTACAAGGTACGATTCATGCCATGTCACCAGGAAGCTATTATATGAGCAAGGATCAGTTATTTCTTATTTTCATACTTCATCTTAAAATTGTGCTGATGGGTAATCAACATTTTGTTTTAAAACAGACCTTGATTTCTGATGACTATTAAGGTAACTAAGAGCCTTGGCAGCCCCTTAGTTGGTACTTTTGTTCATGTGTTTTATTGGCAGTATATTTGCCTAAAAAAAAGAAAATGACCCTTTTTAATATACATGAAGCCAATAAGGGAAATACCATATTGCAAAACAACTAATAGAATCCTCAGAATTGAGCATATACTCTGTGTCAGTTGCCGCTTGATACAACTCATTTAGTTCAGTAAAAAAATTAACGTTGAGAAAATATCAAAGACAACATGGGATAATGATTAAGAGCAAACCTTTACTGTCAGACTTCTATTTTACCATTGACGATCTGGGTAATCTGCCTGAAGTTAAAATTTTCTAAGTTCCTATCTCTATATCTTTAAGATGGATGCTTACAAAAAGATGGTGAACCATTTATTAGCTACAGTTTGCTAATTTAACAAAATATATTTTAGTGTCATTAAGTAAGCACACCCTCGATTATTGACACAATTAATTTATCCATGAATGTGATGCTTACAAAAAATGTGCAAAAAGAAAGTAATAATCTGTCTTAATACAGATTAAATATACAGGCTATATCTAATAATTTATTGAGGATGTTTATTTGAAAATGCTCCTTGAGGGCAAGGCTCTGAGACTAGATTCCAATTATAAAATTCATATACTCAAAAAAATTTTGTCAGTTAGGATTCTTTGACTAGGTGATTGCTATCCTTGGGGAAATTTTTAAATAGAAAATATTATAATCCAAATATTACTGATGGACATAGTAAGTTGCAAATTGAGGGGGCATCTCATAGACTGCACTAATGATTTTGCCAAAGGACAAATTCTCACCTTATATCCCCATGTCATACAATCTTACATAATGCCAGTGACAAGTAAGGCAGCCACCTCTATTTGGTTAACCCAAGCTGACTACTTATTACATTTATCTAAGAATTTTTCCAGCATCTCTCATAATATCCTGAGGGTAAAATGTAGGCCAACCAAGAGTATTACTGGTATCTGGCTGTAGATAATCATGTCATACTTCCCAATTGTGATATTTTACTGCCATTTTCCAGTTCTTCACTTCTTTGTTCCTTTCTAAATTACAAAGGCAATAAGACAGAATTTAAATAATTGACTTTCCACCTTATAATTTGGTCTGAGAAACAATTGGTAATAAAAGCATAAGTTATTATACTACGCATGGTATTTCTAACAAAGACAAATTGTGTTGTGTAGCAAAACTTAGTTGGAAGAAATTCATATTTGGAGTAGTGTAGAGTTTTATTCCTTTCAAAAATTTTCTCAGGAAATTGGAGAAGGAAAGGCTAAATGATTTCTGGGAATTGATGATGTATTACTTGTAAAACACTCAGTTGTACCTTCTTTTGGTCACTTGTATGTGGATATAAATAAAATAGCAGTTTGTGAAATATCCACATGCATAAAATCAAACAACACAGCCGCATCCATATTGGCACTAATGAAACCTTTAATTTGACTTCGTAGCAAAGGAATGCATTTCAGGCTTTATATAATCCGCAGTGTCACACCGTACTAATTTAATTCACCAAGCAATATGTTGATTTCATTCTTTAGTTTACTTCAATAGCTATATTCCATAACGTAAAAATGTTTTAAATAGATAGCAATTATTTGATTTTTTCTTTTGATTTATTACATCAAGCCTTATTTCAAATTGAAATGCAAACACCTATAGCTTTTTACTTAATTATCTGATAAATTAGTGCTTGTTGGATGGGTACATATACTGCCTTTCCCAACTCAATAGGAAGTTGCCAGTGCTTTTATGGAGAGGCAATATTTTCTCTTCTTCTGAATTTCTCAAAGGATCAGCAGTTAATATAGTATTTTCTGTAACAATTAAATTAAAGTGCTAGAGATTCGTTTCTCCATATGTTCAATTTTTTGATTAAGTAATGCCTTAAAGGACCATTTTAATAAGGTAAGTGCACTACCTGCATGAGCCAGACTTCACTTGTTAAATGATGAGTGGCTTCCTGCCATTGCATTTTCATGCAAAAATATTGGTTATACAAGCTTTATGTAGTAGAGAAAATACATACATCTATATAGACCGATTCTCAAAGATCAATACCAAAAGAATGTTTGCATATTCTACAGAAAAAAATTTAAAAATTATAGATAACAGTTTTATAAGCTATAAAGATAAAATAGCAACATTTATGAAATGAAAAGTTAAACAGAAACATATAATGTTCTGGAAATAAAAGATTACATAATGTGGCATTCATTTGACAATTTATTGTGTACTCTATCAAAATTTTAAAAGATTCCTATTAAAGCAAAGTATGATTAATAATCACATCACTAGAATATAAGAGACAAATTTTTAAATTTATGCAAACCTGCAAGGTCAAACAAAAGCTTTCATAATATGTGTAAATTATCTTGAGAAAATTCCAGCAGAGAAGAGGAAATTTCAGTGCATAACAGCATTTAAAAGCCTTTTACTTGTGGCCATGATGGAGTTCTTGGCCACCACCTTTACCTTCCTCCATGAGCAACTAAAAATCTGATAAAGTACATATGATGGTTAATACTGAGTGTCAACTTGATTGGGTTGAAGGATACAAATTATTGATCCTGGGTGTGTCTATGAGGGTGTTGCCAAAGAAGATTATTATTTGAGTCAGTGGGCTGGAAAAGGCAGACCCACCCTTAACCTGGGTGGGCACAATCTAATCAGCTGCCAGTGTCTAGAATGTAAGCAGACAAAAAAATGTGAAAAGAGAGACTGGCCAAGCCTCCCAGCCTACATCTTTCTCCTTGCTGGATGCTTCCCACCCTCGAACATCAGACTCCAGGTTTTTCAGTTTGGGAACTCCGACCAGCTCTTCTTACTCCTCAGCCTGCAGACAGCCTATTGTGGGACCTTGTGATTGTATGAGTTAATACTTAATAAACTCCCCTTTAGTTTAGAATAAATTCCATTAATTCTGTCCACCTAGAGAACCCTGACTAATACAGTACATTGTTTAAAAAAAAAAGACAATTAATTTCAGAACATGACTGTTGAGGAATAAGTTTTTTTTTTTTTTTTTTTTTTTTTTAATCTTGACCACATTTCTATCGAAAGGGTCTGGGGAGTCATGCCCTACAAACCATAAATTCTCATCAGATGGCTTTTATTTAAATCTATATATTGTGAGTTAGTTTCCATCCTGACTCTGGCATAACATTATGAGACAAGGAAAAAAATCAAAATATTTTACCCCAAAACATGTCTCTTTGCCATCTCTTGAAATGTCCCTGCAAAGCTGTCCTTTGTGGGGGAAAATGTGCATCTGTAAAAAATCTCTATTAGCATAGCTAGATCTTTTTCTTCCAGGCCCTCCCAATCCTGAAGGGATTAACTGAGAGTCCAACACCTTTTAAAGGTCTGAATAGAAAACACTTGTCATCTATTGTCTCTAAGGGCAGCCACTGTGAGACTTCAAAAGAACTGTGGTCTCCCCAGTCTTTTATCTTAACCTGAACATTTCCTTTCTGTTTATCCCAGGTCTTTGGAAAAACTCAACCAATTGTCAATCAGAAAATGTTTAAATTTACCTATAGCCTGGAAGCCACACCTCCCACCCCACCCCACTTTGAGTTGCCCCACTTTCTGAACCAAACCAATGTATTTCATAAATGTATTTGATTGATGTCTCATGCCTCTTTAAAATGTATAAAACCAATCTGTGCCCAGACCACCTTGGGCACATGCTTTCAGGACCTCCTGAGGGCTGTGTCATGGGCCATGGTCACTCATATTTGGCTCAAAATAAATCTCTTCAAATATTTTACGGAGTTTGACTCTTTTCGTTGACACAATAATTCATTAGAAAAAGAATTTCTTTAATGAAAACTGATGAATCCTACAATATCCTTGGCTTTCTGCCTGGAGGTAGCTTTTAGATAACGATACAGACTAGTAGCTTCAGTGGTTGAGGAAAAGATCAGAGTTTGAGAAGGTGGATGCACCTATAGTATGCCCAGTAGAAGACCAGACAGAAGGAAGGTACACAGAAAAGAGCATCTCCAAAAAACGGATGTGTTTACCCTTGGATCTGTAGCCCAATAATGAATAACAAGTGAGTAGGCTGTAACCCCATTAAAATAGACAAAGAATGACTTGGGAGATACAATCTGATCAATTTCCAGAGCTCATGTTAGGCTGGAAGATATTCTAGTGTGCTGACTAGCTGGTTTGGAGAATCCTAAGCGAACAACATCTACTGGACACTTAGTGGACACTGGGTGAATTTAGTGGATACGCAATACAGACCAAGCCTGAGTAAACCTGAATTATTCCTAGAATGAAGCCTACTTTTCAACTCACTAGCAGAGCATAAAATGAGCCTCAGAAAAATCCAGATAAAATGCAAGTATCAAAATTGCCAATTGGCCTGAAAGAAGTCCTATACTCTTTAAGGAGACACAACAATATTTAGTACTCTATCATATAAATTTTACAATGGCCAAACTCCTGCCAATATTTACTGGATTTGTACTAGTTCTGCGTCAGTTTAGAATGAGGAAAGCCAAGGTCACTCCCAACCTAACAATGGGAGAAATCTGGAAAATCTACAAAATCACATGTTTTGAATCCACTGAGATTGCAAAGCAACAAGTGAACTGAATTCCAAAGGCTTATAAGCCACTGAGGACAGAGAGGGAATGTGAACATTTTTTTATAACTGGAAAAACGTAGAAGAAGGAAGTGGCAGTCATAAAAGTAAATAAAACATCTGAAATTTCAGTGAATTATTAAAGACTGAGCATAAACTAGCATTAGAGTTTTGAACTGGTGGAAGTCCTAGGGACAAGAGGAGTTCACAACCACTCACTAGCCCTCTTCAGTGGGCCTTCAGTTAGTATCCATGAGAAAGGTTGAGAGCTGGGAATGAGGTCCGAGAAATCCCACTTGTTGAAATAGGTATGCAGAGGCTACTGAATTCTGAGATTAAAAGTAAAAGTACTAGTAGAACCATTTGTGCTCCAGGCCCTACATAGTTTAAGGTAGTGATCAGCTGCAGCTTAGAATAAACATAATATCTGCCAGCACCATGATCCTTCTTGGAAAAGAAGCAAAATCTGACTGATGCTGGAGAAAGAGCACCACTAACCTGATGCTGCTTGGCATGAGGAGAGGCAAATACTTGCGGAGAGATTAAGTCTGTGAAGCCAGTGTGCAGGTCTAGCTGAAAACTGAATATGAAGCAAGAATAATAAGAAAAATCATCTAGCACTTTTGGCCTCATGTTTAAAATAATGTAGAAGCTGTCAACCACAGAAAGAATGTGAAGCATATTATACACTGAACGTAGTTATGGCAACAATAATACTTAAATGAATATTAATTACAATCTAGATTGATTCAAGCCTACCAAGGAGAGAGCTGAAGGAAGAGGCAAATCCGTTTGTAAGAATACATATTAACTCTATTTCTATAGTTATTTTGCACACAATATCTGGCATATATAAAAATCTATGAAACACACAAAATAAGCAAGGATTATCTACTCTTTATGAAGAGATAAAGTACTCAACATATATAGGAATAGGTATGTCCAGACATTGAAACTATCAAACATGGTTGATAATGTAAGTATAATTCATGTGTTAAAAATATAGTGAAAGAAGTAGACAGTAAAGATGGAGAAGTGAGAAATTTCATTAGAATAAAATAAACTATAAAAAGTCAAAATACTAAAAGTTGAAAATATGGTATCAAAAATGAAGAATTTCTACAGTGAGTGGAGCTATCAACAAACTGGACAACTGGACTCACTAGAGGAAAGAGTGAGTAAAGTTGAGGATAGGTCCATCAAAATTACACAAACTGAATCACCTAAAGAAGCAAGCAAGCAAACACACAAAGAATCAAAACAGATCAGAGATTCTGAAAGGAAAATATCAAATACCTAATATATATGTAATTTTAGTTTTAGAAGCAGAATAGAGAGAAGACAAGAAAATATACACAAAATATATGGGCTAACAATTTTCCCAGCTTAATGAAAAATACTAAATTTCATGTCCAAGAAGTTCAGAGAATCTCAAGCAAGATAATTATATAAAAAAACACACCGAGGCACATTATAGTAAAACTGTTGGAAGTCAAAGATAAAGAGAGGTTTTTGCTTTTGTTTTGGTCAACAAGAATGACATGACTGTTTTGGTCAACAAGAATGAAAATGAAAATACACTTTTATGTATTACATAAAAGTGAAAATAACAAATTCCTATTTCTGGCCAAGATATAGAAGCAGTGTCCTGAATTACCTCACTATTTGCAACAACTATAAAAGAAAGGTAAAATATCTTAAACAAAGATAATACAAGCTATTAGATTTTAATCAGCAAAACATAATAATGTTTGAAGACAGGAAACAAATGAGGTAAACTCTACAATTATCTCAGCTTATTATAATACCTGAAAGGATTCTCCAATGTAAACTATGCTAAGAACATTTCATTTGTAATTGATTTTTATTCTCCCCAGAAGTAAGATTGCTGAATCACATCACATATATTGTCAAGGTTGTTGATACAATTTAACAAATTTCTCTTCAGGTTTTCCATTTCAGTAAGTATACATATCACCAGTATCTAAGTGTATTATTTTGAAATTGTGTTACAATTGCCTTGTTTTTGTTTGCATCTAACACATCTGCAGGGGAGAATTCTATTCAACTTTTGTATCCCAAAGCCTAGCATAGCCTAAACTTTTAAAATATGCAGTAACTAGCATTCAGTAAGACTACCTAACAGTACATGAAATGCACGTGACAGGCATTCTACAAGTACAAAATTATACCATATAACCTGTGACTGCAAATATCTCTGAACTAAGAAAGATGACATGCATACTCACTACCAGCTGATGAGTCAGAAGTATCAGATAAGGTGGTATGAACGCTAAATATTTAGAAAGTAGAATAAAACGATCAAAAGCACATCAAAAATTGCATACTAAAAAGTTGGTTTTTAAGCTGGTTCTTGAGTGGACATAAAATATCAGTGTGGACAGTGAGCTTTCAGAAGGCATTGTGCCTTAAGAAAAATGGCAAAACTGGTTAGTTTCGTAAGTGTTTTTGCTAGGGATTGGTAGTAAAGCTGGTTGAAAAGTTGCTTAGACAGAAAATTGTAAGTGTTTGAAAACCAAACCTAGGAGCTGAGACTTTCTTTTTGTGTTTATTGTTGGTTGGTTGGGTGGTTGGCTGGTTGGCTGGTTGATGCTGATAGTAGTGTTTTTGCTTAAACAGTAAAGAGAAGTGATCAAAAATTTTGCTTGCTTATTTTATTTATTAATTTTTAGACTAATCTGCTAACAATATGCAGGGTGAATTAGATGTGAATAAAATGATGAAAGAACACTAGAGAGACAAACTGGATATTAGGAGGCTATCTAAATGAGGTAAATAAAATATTAAATCAACACACACTAAGTTATAGCATAACATAACTTATATTGGAAGTAGATTAGCTGATAATTAGAAGGCAGGCATCGAAGCAGATTTATGTAGTTCTTCCTTTCACAATAAGAAAATCTTCCCTTGGCTTTTCTTATTCTTATTCTTATTTTTTTTTAAGATGGGGTCTCGCTCTGTTCCTAGCTTTTCTTATTCTTAAAGATTAGTGACACCTGTTTATAATTCCTCAGCCATGATAAAATATCATTTATTGGTTGAAAGTCTTGACTTAGTCTAGTTTGTGTTAGAATCTAATAATTTTGCATATGCTAGTTTGAGTCTCCTGAAAAATAAGTAGTGCAATATAGTAGGATAATATTGTCAATAGAAAGGGATCAATGATGCACATAATTGAGAAAAAGAAAATAAGAAAGTAATCCTGATTTTGTTTTCATAATCAAAATTAATGAAGTGGATTATTGCTCAATTATTTGGATAATGAGTCAAATAAATAACTACATTATTAATAGAAAGATTATTTAGGCAAAGCAATATACACATTAGTTAACCAATGACTCAGAAGCATTGAGAAAATGATGGACTTATTACTTCAATTTTCACAAAAAAGAAATTTAACATGGGAAAATAGAAAGAAGTAAAACAAAATTAAATAGAAATAAGAATTGGAGTGAAAGAATAAAATATGTCTTTCATAATAAAACTTTACTTTTTTTGATAATACATCATTGTATTTAACCTACTCAGAATTGTATTGATCTTATTAGAATGAATATAAAATACTATTATATTGTGAATAAATTTTAAAATCTACTGGCTTCAGAGTACAATTGAATAATCTATAATCACTTAAGTTAAATATTATAAGGCTAATTATATACTAAAGCAATATATTTTTTCTTCCTAAGTAATGCACAAAAATAGTTAAAGTACTAGAAAGCTAACAATGGTAGGAGTTAAAACATTAGCTTTATGAAAGAAACTAGCTAAGTAGCTGGATTTTATATTTTACGTGTGTGTCTGTGTGTATAATGCTTGATACGTGATAGTAATTATGTGAATCTTATGTTGAACTTAACCTAAGAAAGACATCAAGAAGTTAATCAAGAAAACAAGTGACAAGTTATAACTTGCAAATTTAAAGACTGTATATACACCTTTCAAAGAGGTTATTGGGGTTATTAGTCTGAATTTTCCAAAGAGGTTATCAAGGATAAATATTTTGAAGTTTCTTTTGAATTTAAATTTTTCAGATAGAAAAATATAATTTATTTATATGAATCCTTATTTTTGAGTTCTTGAAGCTTACAATATAAGGTTAAGTAAAAAATAATATTCACAACTTTATACAAAATATTTTCCAAAATTAAAACATACCTTTTAATATATTCATGATTAATATATATCACTCAGATTATAAAGATTCCATAATCTTTCTCCTCTTCCTTCTCTTCTTCCTCCTGTTTCTCCTCCTCCCCTTCTTCCTCATCATCATTGCTTCTGGAGGGGTAGAACTAAGCATTCATTCCTCATTCATTCCTTCATTCATTTTACCTTAACCATAGATTGTGTAAAAATAAGAACATTACATTTAAAAATGCACTTAACAATTTTATTTTGCAATCAAATATGGGAAATAGGCAACTTTTAAACTGCATCAACATTAAAAATACTCCATAATAGAATGAATAGCAAAGACAGCATTCACATATTCTAAAGCTAGCCAAAATAATTTTGTTCTCAATGTGATATACAACCAATATTTTAATACATGTTATTCTATGAAATATTAATTTCTGAAAAGATAGTATTAGGACTTCATTAATAAAATTATCTTATTGCAAAACTGAATAAAACTAAAATAAATTGTATTAGAAAATATTGGGGTAGCGCACGAATCTCAGAGGGGCATGAAAAATCAACTGTCATTAGTGCAAGGACTTCAGAAACCTTCAGGTGTGTTGGCTTAATTCTATCAGCAAATTCTCTCAGCAACAAAATAGAATCCCTGGAAGTCTGTATGTGATATTTTTACAGAGTTGTGTAAATGTATATTGTGTGGAAGACTCTTCTGGTTCTATTTTGAGAAACTCTGGGAAATTATTCCACTGGTCTGATTAGGATAAGGTGTGTTTCATCAATGAATCAATCTCACTTTGACCAGAAAAGTGAGGGTGGTGATGACAAGGCTCATATAAAGAGACTGTCACTCCCTTTTGGACAACTTAGCTAGATCACAGAAAGTATCCATTCTCCAAATAATGAGAGGCTATTTTAGAAGTAGTGATTGCACCAAATTGAGAAATTAATTAATGTACGGTTAAAATTTGCATGAAGTTTCACATACATACTAACAATAGTTTTGAATTATATTACTATCAGGTTGGTGCAAAAGTAATTGCACCAACGCACAATTACTTCCTAATAAGTGAGAAATTGAGCAAATTCTTAAAGAGATATACAAGTTTTGAAAAATAATGGAGTGAAACAAATATATGTGAGTTCCAATGAACTAAAAGTATCCTTTGAATCAATAGTAGGTCCAATATTATGGGTCTTTTGTCAAATGCATAGTTTGCAAATATTTTTTGCCATTCTGCAAGTTGTCTCTTCACTCTGTAGATTAAAAGCTTTTTCTTTAATTAAGTCTCATTTATCTGTTTCTAGTTTTTTGCTTTGGTTTTTGAGGTATTTTTCATGTATTTTTTGCCTATATCATTGTCCATAAGTGTGTTCCCTAGGTTTTTGTATAAGATTTTTATAGTTTCAGATCTTACATTTAATTTTTGGATCCATTTTGCATTGATTTTTGTCTATAATGAGAGATAGGGGTCCAGTTTTATTATTTTGCACTTGGCAATATTCCTGACACCATTTAATGAAAAGAATGTCCTTTACCAAGTGTATGTTTTTATTGACTTTGTCAAAGATTAGTTGGCTGTACATATGTGGCTTTACTTCTGGGTTATCTATTCTTTTCCATTGGTCTATGTGTCTGTTTATGTACTACTACCATGCTGTTTTCCTTACTGTAGTTGTATAGTATAATTTGAAGTCAGGTAATGTTATGCCTCCATTTTTGCTTGTTTTGTTTAGGATAGCTTTGGTTCGTCAGGCTCTTTTGTGACTCCATATGAATTGTAGGACTGTTTTTCTAATTCTGTGAAAAAAGATATTGGTATTTTGATAGGGATTGCATTGAAACTGTAAATTGCTTTGGGCAGTATGGTCATATTAACAATATTATTTGTTCTGATCCACGAGAATGGGAAGTGTTTGTTTGTGTTACCTATAATTTGTTTGTCCATTTGTTTGTTACCTATAATTTCCTTCATCAGTGTTTTGTAGTTTCCCTTGAGCAGATATTTTTACTTCCTTGATAAAATATATTCCTAGGTGTTTTATTTTCCTGTAACTATTGTAAATAAAATTGCCTTTTGATTTGGTCCTAGCTTGGTCTTTAGGGGTATAAAGAAATGCTACTGATTTTTGTACATTAATTTTGTATCCTGAAACTTTACTGAATTAATTTATCAAATCTAATAATTTTTGGAGGAGTCTTTCTGGATTTTTAGGTACAACATCATATCATCAGCAAGCAGAGATAATATGGCTTCCTATTTTCCAATTTGGATGCCTTCTATTTCTTTCTCTTGCCTGATTTATCTGGCTAGAAATTCTGCTACTATGTTGAATAGGAGTGGTAAAAGTCGGCATTCTTGTCTTGTTCCAGTATTCATGGGAACTGCTTTCAACTTTTCCTCGTTCAGTATGATGTTGGCTATCAGTTTGTCATCTACAACCTTTATTATTTTGAGGTATAGTTCTTCAGTGCTGCAGGTTTTTATCATGAAGATACGCTGAATTTTATCAATGCTTTTTCTTCATCTATTGAGATGATCATATGTTTTTTGTCCTTAATTCTACGTGACGAATCACATTTGTTAATTTTCATATGTTGCACCATCCTTACCTTCCTGGAATAAAACCCAGTCTCACCCTGAAACCAAAGCCAGACAAAAATACAACAAAAAAACGAAAAGTACAAACTCATATGCCTGATAAATATCGATGCAAAAATCTTCCCCCAAATACTAGCAAACCAAATTGAACAGCATATCAAAAGGAAATACACCATGATTAGGTAGGTTTTAACACCCTGTATCTCTATTAATTTTCTAGACTCTAACTATTTTCCTTATGCTTTCTGTTCCTCTCAACATTACAGGCACACTGGCTTTTAATTTCCTGAGTGTGCTATGTCCCCTCCTGCAGTCTTTGCACAATCTGATCTCTGTTTTGAAGAATTGTAACTTTTTCAATACTCTGACTTTGATCACCGTTTTTATCTCTTATGTCTAAGTAAGAATATAACCCATGGTAAGTGATCACTAGATATTTAGTGAATGAAAGAAAAAATCATCAAATAAAAAATGAGACATGTTCTAGAATCATGAGCATGGCTTAATGTATCATCAAACTTGGAAGAAATGGTGGTGACAGATATAGGCAGGAGATACTTAAGGCTGCCAAATATTACAAGAAAGACAAGCAAAACCATACAATAAAATAAAATGTCTTAGGTGGTATGATTGTTTTTTGTACTAGAAAAAGTACTAGGGATTGAGAAGCTAGGACAATGGTGAGGGCCTTTCTGCTGATTAGCTTCATATCCCTTTCTTTTGGACTTTGCAGTACTATATGTAATGCAAGTCAAAGGGCATTTAGGATGTGGTTACAAATGTACCACTATATAGGGACTGTCAGATTCCTGCCCCCGCCCCAACTACCATTGTGCTCTTTTTTTCTTTTTTAATATTAGCTCTCTAAAAATCTTGTAGAAATTGTCATGTCTGTGAGAGGCTTTTATTAAATGATGAATGATTTTTGTAAAACTTTGGTGATTAATTTTCTCTCCAATGTCATTGATTCTGCAGTTCTAAGGACAGGGTTTGTGTTTGTGGAAAAGTAGGGAGAAGGACCCTCTCCTAATCTCTTTAACTCAATTCCTTATTAGACCCAATTCTGTTTTAGATTTCACTGTTCCTTTAGCTCCTTGTGTTCTGACCCCTCCTTCAGATCACTAAGGAAACAGTCCTGGTGGGCTATAAAATCTTTGTCATCACCTCCATTGTCTGTACATTCTCAATCCTGTCTAGTCTCCAACTAAAATGAAAATAATAATAAGGATAACAATAATAAAATTAATGTCACTTTTTATAGCAATGCATTTAAACAGATAAGGATTAAAGCAATGGTGGAAGGAGTTGAGTCAATGATGTAATGTCTAAGCCTCATCTTTAGCAGCCAGAATACCCTGTTACGATGAGATAATTCTACCCACTTCAGAGACTACTAGGATGACCAAATAATCACTGTGCTCTTACCACTTATCTCCTACTCAAAGCCATTGCTCCAGTATTTGTCTAATTTCCTTCAAGATCATTAATTTTCTTCATTTACTATATATTATGCCAAAGCACGTAAACATGTCCCAATTTGTCCCACATTGAAAAAGGAGAGAGAAACTCTCTTTACTTTAAATACTTTTATTGCTACTGTCATTTTTTTGCCTTCTTTCCATCAGTGCTTTTTAGTACAGCAGTCTGTACTCTCTGTCTCCAATTTCACTCCTCTAATTGTTTCCTGAACTTAGTGCAGACACATTTTATTTCTACTGTTATATCAAAACACCTCTAGTAAAGGCCAACAAAAATCTCCTGGATGTTAACTCTAATAATTAATATTCAGGACTCATAATTGAATTATCTAGAGCCTGTGGCACACATAATTACTCATGTCATTTTTTCCACTTGGTTTTCAATACCATACTTTCTCTCGTTTCTTTGAATGCTCCTTCATCATCAGCTTTTTTTTTATTCCTTCTCTATCTCCCAGTCTGTAAATATGGTATGCCCCAGGCTCAATTCTCAATCCTCTTTGTTTCATTGTCTATACTTCCTACTTGCCTGAGATTTTTATTGATCTCATGGTTGTAAATATCCTCTAATCCCTATTAGTCCTATGCATCATTTTTCTGAAGATCTCCTCTTGGAATTTCAGACGTGGATGTCCAGTGGTTTAGATGACACCCACAATAGCTTCCTGTCCCTCTTTCTGCTATTGTCCTTCTACAGTGACTCTCAAAACAGTAGCTAGAATTAGCCTTTTGAAAAGTTCAGTCACTTCCTCTGTGTTAAAAAAAAAAAAAAAAAAAAAAAGTATAGACTTTTATCTTATCCAAAATAAAGACAGGGCACGTTAGATGGTCCAGGTGTTACTTCTGCCTCATCTGCTACTACATTCCTCCCTGTTCTTTCAGGTCCAAGAATGCAGCTACCATGCAATGTGATTCTTTATACACGCTAATAACACTCTTGTCTTATGGTCGTTGTACATATAATTTTCTCTTCTTGAAAGTATTTTCCCCTTGATACTCTACATGGCTGTCTTCTTTGTTGCTTTCAGATCATTATTTAATATCACCACTTCAAAAAGGCATACCCTAATCTAAAGCAATACCTTGTTTGCTGCACTAGACTTATTGGCCTTTGCTGAGTTTTTTTTCCTGTAGAACTTCTTACCATCTCACATTCCATCTATTGACTTATTTGTATTTGCTTATGTTTATTTTCCCAAGTAGAAGATAAATGCAGTGAGTTACTGTATTAGTCCATTCTCATGCTGCTATGAAGATTTCTTCATAGCATACCCGAGACTGGGTAATTTATAAAGAAAAGAGGTTTAATTGACTCACAGTTCCACATGACTGGGGAGGCCTCAGGAAACTTAACAGTCATAGCAAAAGGCACGTCTTCATAAGGCAGCAGGGGAGAGAATGAGTGCCCAGTGAAGAGGGAAGCCCCTTATAAAACCATCAAGTCCTGTGAGGCGTAACTCACTATCACGCAGCTGACCCGTGATTCCATTATCTCCACCTGGTCCCTCCCACGATACGTGGGGATTATGGGAACTACAATTCAAGATGAGATGTTGGCAGGGACACAGCCAAACCATATCAGTTAGTAATGCTTTTTTTTTTTTTGAGACGGAGTATCTCTCTGTCGCCCAGGCTGGAGTGCAGTGGCGCGATCTCGGCTCACTGCAAGCTCCGTCTCCCGGATTCACGCCATTCTCCTGCCTCAGCCTCCCGAGTAGCTGGGACTACAGGCGCCCGTCACCACGCCCGGCTAATTTTTTTGTATTTTTTTTAGTAGAGACGGGGTTTCACCATGTTAGCCAGGATGGTCTCGATCTCCTGACCTCATGATCTGCCCGCCTCGGCCTCCCAAAGTGCTGGGATTACAGGCGTGAGCCACCAGGCTCGTCCAGTAATGCTTTTTCTTTTGTTAACTGCTGTAAAACCAGAGACCAGAGCACTGCGTGGTATACTCACTAGTCTTCTAATTAATGAAAATAAGTAAGATATCTAAAAATGATCTATACAATTAAATTACATTTTAGAAATATTATATTTCGGTTTTTAACATTAATGGGGAGCTGGCCATTACCTTTCCCTGTTTCTCTCTCTGTAGTGAGGTAGTTAAACTAGATAATATTTAAAGATGTGCCTTCAATATTCTATAATTGCAATATCTAGTAGAAATAGCTTTTTGATGGCTTTCTGTTCTGATTGATGCTTAAATTAACTTAATTACCCAAACAGGAAAATTATGGTTGTAAGATCATAATTTTGATTTCCTACAAAATGAAGGCAATAAATTAAAAAATCCTCATACAAAAATTTACTTGAAAGTAACTTCACTAAAACTTATCTAGATTATCACATAATGGGTTCTCAAGAGTCTATTTACCATCAGGTAAATTGCTATTTTCTGCTGTATTTCAAAAATGCTTATTTTTTAGTATTTACTTTCAGTGTAATTTTTGTGTATTTACCTAAGCTAATATAGAGTCTCTGTCTGTATAGTATAAACTTTTAAATGTCTGAGCTTGTTACTTTTGATTTAAAAGAAATACCTTCAAAACGTAAATAATTTTTAATACTTAACCGATACATAAAGCACATGTATCTCTGTAAAAGCAATGCTTCTGACATTTGCATTTAACAAGAGAAAATTATCACAAACCTAGACTTATTGGATTTTTGATAGTATGAATCAATGCCCTTGTGGAAAAATAGATTACAGCAAAACTATAAAATATTTATTCTGTAAAAATAACGTACTAGGTGCATCAAGTTCAATAAAAAGCCATATAAACTCATCATGTTAACATGCACATTTTGTTAAACACTAAATAATTTAACACATATGAAAAATTCAGAGAATGTTAAATAGCTATGCTGTTCCTTCACTCATTTCAGTTTAACTGATTCTGCTGCTATCCAAGTAAAGCTTATTCATAGAAAAATAAAGGTGGTTTATTGCCCATCTTTCTTACAGAGTTCTCATAAGAGCACAGATGCACAAAATTACAATATTTAAGGAAAAAACAAGTCTGTATCCTTCAGCCCATTCTTAATTTATTTTACATTTTTCCAAATAATTCAACACCTGCCATTTTCTTGTTTGTCTGACTAAATTTGAAGAAAATAGACCATTTTATTGTATGGATAAATGCAACTTACCCTTTCATAAAATATTACATCTTTCAAAATTTTTAAATTATCTCCAACTGTATTTATGTTTCAGGAATTGATACTTTGTAACCATGTCAGAATAGTTTAATCAATTTGTATTTCTATTTTGATATTTCTTTCTATGTTTAATCATAAATAGGGTTTACTCCAATGTCTCTTGCTTCCCCATAGCACTTTCATCCTTGTTGCCTCATCTGTCAACAAAATACTCTCCATACTCTTTTCCTTTCTTATTTCCTGTATATTCTTACATATTTTAATTTTTATTATTACTCTTTTGGGCATGTGAAATCTTCATTCAAACTCATTACAAACATTTCAGAATCTGACCTTAGTCACATTTTGTATTTCTTTTGTGTTTTTTTTTAAATAATAGTAGTAATAACAATGAATAGTAATAGCTATCCATTCTATCTAACTATCCCAGCTGTCTAGTTGGGAAAATAAACAGTACATATCTATTGCTATCACTATTATTATCTAAAAAACTGAATGCCTAGTTTCGGTATGAAAATAAAGCTGTAATGAAGTTTCAGTTTATGGCAAAACCCTCCCTCTATCTTCCCTACAACATTCTAAAACTTTAAGTCTATTATTATATCTCTTTATGAACCATTATTGAAAATCAAAGAGATGAACTTCCAGCAGTAGAAATCAAATCAAAATTAAATATTTATAAATTGAGACATGGTTGTATAAAACATTACAAGACCTTTTCTAACTTCCTTTGGACTATAAAATTTAGGAATTAAGTACATTCTACACTTGAAGACTCACACTACTGTCCCTATTTCCTATCGTATTTCTTTTAGAAGTACCAGAAAATGATTTTTTCACTAAAAAGTTTACCACAAAATTCAGAAGGACTTTTATGCATTATTAAAAAGATAAATTAATAATGATTCTTAATTTTCCATCAATTTGTCCACATTTCCATTTTTACATTATACACTATTCTTCAAGAAAAATCCTATTGAACACAACTTACAATTTCTTATCTCAATTTATTCATTATTAAATTATCCTCACTTGTAATACCTTTTTCCATATAAATCAGCTGTTACATTGCACTTTACTGATTGAGAATAGATAAAATGCAATACCTATCTATGCATCTATCTATATGCATTCTATCTGTATTTCTACTCTGAGATATATATATCATACTATATATATTATTTCATATCAACTCTATATATATCAGAGTAGACATAAATATGTCATATATTGCTTATGTTTTATATTTGTGTGTGTGTGTGTATATATATATATATAATGTGTGTGTGTATATATATATATAAAATGTATGTGTAAAAACACCCAGATGTTTCTGTATTTCCACTTTGATAAATATATAGCAACATATGAGTGTTTGTTATTTTGTTAAGTTAGTAAAAAAATGTAACATGTATTTTAAAGATTTTATTGTTTAAATCAGGTGATTCTGTAAATAATAATGATAGTAGTGGTATAGAAGAGGCATATTATATTTTTTTTAGCAAAACAGTAGAGGATTTGGAAATTTTCTTCAACATAAAGGGTTAGAGAATAGTATGTGTTGATGGAAAAAAATAAGAAAAGATGAGGTCCTTTATGTAAGTGAAAGGGACAATAGTTTAGAAATGGTTTAGAAATAGTTTAGAAATAGTTAGAAATAGTTTAGAAATGGTGATTAGAATATGTAATGGGGCATGGGAGAATAGCAGTCTAGATTTTAAAGGACTTCAGGGAAGACAATATCCTCACAGTCCAGGATTGGATTAAAACATGATTTTGCTTGGGGACATACCATGACTTTCAGAAGACACAGTTGAAAATATTATGGGAGTCAAAGAGGGCAAGAATATTGAATAAAATAGGAGGTATGAAATAAACAAGGAAGATGAAAGTCTGGGTGATGATGGATTATCAAAGGTGATTAGATTTCAGATGTTACGTTTAGAAGTAAGACAAACATGAAGGAATTATTTCTTATGACTTCCTAGGGGAAGCAGGCCTCTTCCTTGGAATCTATTTCTTAAAACTTGGAAAGTAGGACCATTTGTAACTTGAGTAAGGGCTGATTAGCTAGAGGAAGAACTTGGGATCTGTGGGCATTGCTCATATTTGTCTGTGAATAGTGTTAGTAAAGCAAGCAATTTTCTGACTACTGGTATTTGGAGCGCTGAAGATCTAGCTTGAAATCAGTACATTTTGGATTATTTAGGCTTCCTGTATAAATATGAAGGCCAAGGTGTTCAATGCTGATTCATGGTCAAGTAAGTCAAGAATAGACAGCGTTCCAAATACTTCTGTCAGTGGTGTAGGAGAAAACGAAGGAAGTCATTATATGTCTTCATATAATTCTCTCATGCAGCTAACATCAGGGAGAAAAACTAAATAGATAGATCTATCTTGTGCCCAGGCTAAAACAAAGTTCTGAAGTTAGTATTTTCCCCTTCACATTAGCTTAATTAACTGGACCTATATCATCGATATGCTGCTTTTAAATGAGGACTTTAATAGGATTCTGCCTCACAGGTGTTCTCCTTTTAGTGTTTGTTTGTTTATGTTTCTTATAATAGTGGAGGTTAACTGGTGTTGATAAATGCCTGAGGTACTTCAGGCAATTATAGCAAAAATACCATATACTGAGTAGCATAAACTACAGAAATGTGTTTTTCATAGTTTCAGAGGCTAGGAAGTCCCAAATCAAGTGCCAGCAAACCCAGCAGATCCAGTGTCTAGGGAGGGCACATTTCCTGGTTGGCAGGTGGCTGTGTTCTTGCTGTATCCTTACATTGTAGAGAAGGATATAATTCCTCTAGTGCCTCTTCTTATAAGGGCGCTAATCCTGTTCATGAGGGTTCCAGTCTCACAGTTTAATTATCTCCCAGATGTCCCACCTTCATATACCATCATATTGGCTATTAGTCTTAAACAGCTGAAGAGGTACCATACTTATACCACACTCTTCCCCTAAGAAGATTAAATCTTATTTTCTTTTTTTACTTTGTATTTTGTGTTGATATTGAGGTTATCTAATGCACTTATGAGTGGGAGACAAATTTAACATTTATCTTGTGGGATGATGTTCTCTAAATTAAAATGAAGGCAATATACAGTAATACTTTAAGAAATCAGGCAGCTGTGAAGGGGATATTTTTGAAGTTTACTATCACAACGTTATTCTTTACAAACCTGTCACAGGTGTTGTTGTGTTTTGTTTATTTCTTCGTTTTGAGACGGCGTCTTCCTCTGTCGCCCAGGCTGGAGTGCAATGGTGTGAACTCTGCTCACTGGAACCTCCGCCTCCCAGGTTCCAAGCAATTCTCCTGCCTCAGCCTCCCAAATAGCTAAGAATACAGGTGTGCACCACCATGCCCAGCTAATTTTTGTATTTTTGGTAGAGATGGGATTTCTCCATGTTGGCCAGGCTGGTCTCGAACTCCTGACCTCAGGTGATCCACCTGCCTCGGCCTCCCAAAGTGCTGGTATTACAGCCGTAAGCCACACGCTGGCAGGTTTTTCTGTAATATTGATGACTGCATATTGTGAAGGTTCTAGTTAAAATGCAAATATGCTACCTGAGACAAGTAGCAGCTATGCCATTTTGACATGAATCAGTTTATCAGATTAACCAACATTATACACTGTAATATTTAAAGGATGTAGAATAGCAATTTAGAAATAGTATTGAAAATATTGGTCTAAAAATAAATATAAAGAGGAAACTTCCTGTGAAATTTTTCAATAAAGTGCTCATGAGTGCTATATTTTTCCCTTCTTTGTTATGATTAATATGTAAGAAGAAAATAAACTATCACACTTACAGTATTTGAAATGTCCTAGTGCTTTGCTCATATTGAGTTCACTAATTTACAAAGCATCCCTGAGAGATAGGCATTTTACAAAGCAGGTATAAGCACAAGTAAGGTAACTTTGACACAGATAGAAATTTTAAACAACATATTTTTAACATCAAAATATATTTCTGAAATTTTGTGATGTTAATATTTAGAAGAAAAATAAGGTTTATTCATCTACTGTTGAATAATTAATACTATGAATATATAATAAATATAAAAGGATGCTGCATTTATGGTACATTGCATATGATTTTGTGGCTCTCAAAAATATTATTGACCAATCTTTAATTTTGGAGAAAAACGTTGCTATTCAACTTTCTTATGAATATCAAAAACATAGTTCTTGAATGGAAACATACTTCCTTTCAAGGTGACAAGCCCTTGAAAGGAACGTAATGTGATTATTTTGCAAAGATAAAGTGAAGTAAATCTGATTAACTGTAACAAGTTTAACCAGTGATGAGTGTCTGCTGGTGCAGAATGTCCTGACATAATTGCAAGATAAAATAAAAAAGTACAGATAAAGGATTTTAGATGGTGATTCCACCATAAACTCAGTTGGTAAACAACAACTACAAAAAACTTGTTTTGTAGAATCTGCCTGAATTCTGCAGATGTTAAAGTATTAGTTAACTTTTTCCCTATCTCATTAAATATAATTTTAAAATCAGTTTTAAAATGGAGTAATTATCAAACTATGGAATTTAATATGCATATTATGTCCCAGTTTTAAGATTATTTGATGCTATCTAACACAGGTATAAGTTGGATCTAAATATAAAACATGTCTCATATATTATATTTATATCATACATATGTTTAGAATATACATATACATTTATATATGTTTTTTAAAGTGTATTTTTATATATTTTAATATGCTCTTGCTTACATATACTTTAATATACTTTATGCCTACATATTTTAATATACTTTTTAACTATAGAAAAACATTAGTACTTACTAGTGTTTGTGATAAATATACAGAGGTAAAATTTTCAAGTTAATATTTTTGTTTTTACCATCATAAGTTCAGGCACAACAATAGGAAAATAAAGCTGGGTAAATTAGCATTGTTTCAGGAATTTATTCATAATTAAATATTGTGGAAATACAGAATTATTAGGCAATTGGCAACAAAAGATTAGTTTTAGAAATGTCTGTTTATATCCTTTACAAGTTTTAAATGGGGTTGTTTGTTTCTCAGGGGGTCTTGTTTAATTCTACGGAAATTTTAGAACTGTTTTCTCTAATTCCGTGAAAAATTATATTGGTATTTTGATAGGGATTACATTGAATCTGTAGATTGCTTTGAGTCTTACATTCATTTAAAAAGTACGTATTTTATTTTTTTTTCCTAGATTTAGGGGTACAAGAATATTTTTGAACATGTATGTATTGCACAGTGGTAAGTCTGGGCTGTTCCTGCACTGCTACTGTAACCATCATCTGAATAGTGTACATGGTACCCAATAGGTAATTTCTCACCCCTCATCCACCTCCCAAACTCCAACGTTTTGCAGCATCCAGTGTTTATTATTTCACTCTATATGTCCCTATGGACACATTATTTAGTTACCCCTCATAAGTGAGAACATGCAGCATTTAATTTTCTGTTTCTCAGTTATTTCAATTAAGATAATGCCCTCCAGTTCCATCTATGTTGCTGCAAAAGACATGATTTCATTATTTTTTGTGGCTGAGTAGCATTTTATGGTATATATGTATTTATACCCTGCTTTCTTTATCCAATCAATCATTGATGGAAACTTAGATTGATTTCATGATTTTGCTGTTGCGAATAGTGCTGTAATCAACATACTAGTGCAGGTGTCTTTCTGATATAATGATTTATTTTCCCATTGTGTAGATGCCCTGTCGTGGGATTGCTAGATTGTTCTATTTATAGTTCTTTGAAAAATCTCCATACTAATTTTACCTTCCCATCAAAAGTTTATAAGCATTCTTTTTCTCTGCATCGTCACCAACATCTGCTGTTTTTTTTTTAACTTTTTAGTAATAGCCATTCTGACTGGCAGAAGAGAACATCTCATTGTAGTTTTAATTTGCATTTATCTATTATTGGTGATATGGTGCATTTTTTTATTTGTTTGTTGGCCACTTGTATGTCTTCTTTTGAGAAATGTCTGTTCATATCCATGCCAGTTTTAAATGTTTTTTTTTTTTTTTCTTATTGAGTTGTTTGAGGTCCTTGTGGATTCTGGATATTACTCCTTTGTTGTATGCATAATTTGCAAATATTTTCTCCCATTCTCTAGGTTTTCTCTTTATTTTGCTATTTCTTTTGCTGTGCAGAAGCTGTTTTGTTTAGTTAAGTCCCTTTTGTCTATTTTTCTTTTTATTACACTCACTTTTGAGGTGTTAGTGATAAATTATTTGCATATTCCAATGTTCAGAATTATTTTTCTACATTTTGTTCTAATTTTTTGTAGTATTGGGTTTTAAATCTAAGCCTTCAATTCATCTTGCGTTAATTTTTTTATATGGAGAGAGACTTGGTTCCAGTTTCGTGTCTATTTTTATACCACTATCATACTGTTTTGGATACTATAGCCTTGTAACATACTTTAAAGTTAGGTAATATGATGCTTTCAGCTTTATTCTTTTTGCTTATGACTGCTTTGGCTATTTGGGTTCCATTTGAATTTTAGGGGTGTTCTTCCTAATTCTGTGAAAAGTAACATTTGTATTTAGATAGGAATTGAATTGAACCTGTAAATTGTTTTGAGCAGTATGGCCATTTTAAGAATATTACTTCTTCCAATCCATAAGCATGAGATATTTTTCCATTTGTTTGTGTAATATTCAATTTCTTCTATTGGTGTTCTATACAGAGATTTTTCCCCCCTAGGTATCTAGTTTATTTGCATAGAGAACTCAAAGTAGTCTCTGATGATCGATAGTATTTCGGTGATATCAGTTCTAATGTCTCCTTTTTCATTTCTCATTGCACTTATTTGAATTTTCTGTTTTTCTAGGTTAATCTACCTAGAAGACTATACATTTTATTTATTTATTGAAAGAAAAAACTTTGTTTTGTTGATTATTTGCAGTTTCTGGTTTCAATTTTATTTACTTGTTTTCTGGACTTTGTAATTTCTTTTTTTCTGCTAGCTTTGGGCTTGTTTTATTCTTGTTTATCTAGTTCCTCAATGTGTGATGTTAGGCTGTTAATTTTTGACCTTTCCATATTTTTTGATGTAGGCACTTAATGCTATGAACTTCCCTCTTAATGCTGATTTTGCTGTATTTAAGTTTTGGTATGTTGTGTCTCTATTTTTATTTGCTACAAAATATTTTTGATTCTCAACCTAAACTTGAGCATTGACTCAAAGATCATTCTGGAGCAGATTTTTTAATTTCCATGCATTTATATAGTTTTGACAGTTCCTCTTGGTATTAATTTCTAATTATATTCCATGGTGCTTTTGGAAGATGCTTGACATAATTTCACTTTTTTAAGAGACTTGTTTTGTGGCCTAATATATAGTCAGTTTTGGAGAATGTTCTATATATAGATAAGAAGAAAGTATATTCTGTAGTTACTAGGTAAAATGTTTTGCAAATGACTGTTAGGTCCATTTCATATAGTCCAATTAAAGTCCATAGTTTCTTTGTTGATTTTCTGCCTTGATTATCTGTCTAGTGATGTTACTGGAGTTTTGCCATCACCCACTATTGTATTGCTGTCTATCTCTTTTCTTAGGTCTAGCAGTGTCTCTTTTATGATTCTAGGTGTTCTGGTGTTGAGCACAATATATATTTAGGATTGTTAGCTTGTTTGTTGAACTGATCCCTTTATCATTATATAATGACTTTCTTTGTCTTTTCTTATGTTGTTGATTTAAAGTCTGTTTTCTCTGAGATTGGTAGAGTTATTCCTGCTGGCTTTTGGTTTCTGTTTGCATGGAATATCTTCTTCCAGCACTTTATCTTCAGTCTATAAAGGTCTTTACCAGTTAGGTGGGTTTTTTAAAAGCAGCATATGTTTAAATCTTGGTTTATTTGTTTTTTTTGTAATCCTTTCTGCTAATCTATATATTTTAAGTGAAACATTTAGTTCATTTACCTTCAAGGTTAATAATGATATGTAAAGTGCTCAAAACATTTAACATTTTATTCTTTCTTTTTCTCTCTCAGGAATATCTATGACCCATAGGGTTATATGCTGTACATAATCTACTATTTCTCAAAGACTTTGTTTATTTTTTCATCTTTTTTTTTTTTCATTTTTCTCTGATTTGGATGAATTTTTAAAACCTGTCTTCAAGCTCTGAAATTATTTATTCTGCTTAGCCTGGTCTATTGGAAAAGCTTTCAACTGTAATTTGTAATTCCATTAATGACTTTTTTATTTCCAGAAGTTCTATTTTTTAAAAATACTTATCTTTTAGTATATCTTTAATTCATATCCTGAATTGTTTTTCTTACTTCTTTGTGCTGGCTTTCATCTTTCCCCTGAATCTCTTGTGTTACCTTACAATCCATATTTTGAACTTTTTCTTTGACATTTCGGAATTTCCATTTTGCTTAGTATCTACTACTAGAGATTTAGGAGGGCTTTCAACTTTCCCCTGAATCTCTTGTGTTACCTTACAATCCATATTTTGAACTTTTTCTTTGACATTTTGGAATTTCCATTTTGCTTAGTATCTACTACTAGAGATTTAGGAGAGTTAGTGTTATCCTTTGGGTTGTTGTAATACCCCTTTTTTTTTTGTACCGCCAGAATTCTTATACTATTTTTTTCCTCATCTGGAGAAGCTGTTCACTGTTTATTTTTGAATTTACTTTCACTTGGATGAAACTTTTTCCCCCTTGAGCACGTGATCTTAATGTATGTTGAGCAGTGTCATTTGGTTTTGCTTCTGGGTGTTTTTAGGGAGCCAAGACTCTGTATTAATTCCTTGGTTACAGATGGCCTTGATGTGGTGGCTTTCTCACATGCTGGTTGTAGTAGCAGTGTACTGGCATGTGAGCAAGTTCACGGCCTCCTGCAGAGAGGGGGACATAGATGTTGCAGAAAACTTATCTTGACCCCCAGGAGTGTGCATTTCTGTCAGCAGATATTACATTGGGTTGTGCAGCTCAACCTCCAGGCCGGTAGGTGGCACTTGCATATTAGAGCAGGCTGAGTACTGTGCAATTGTGTCCGCAGAAAACACAAAGTGTGAAAAAGACACCCCATTTAACAAATCGTGCTGGGATAATTGGCAAGCCACATGTAGAAGGATGAAGCTGGTTCTTCCTCTTTCACCTTATACAAAAATCAACTCAAGATGGATCTAACACTTAAACCTAAGACCTGAAACCACAAAAGTTCTAGAAGATAGCACTGGAAAATCCTTCTAGACATGGGCTTAGGCAAAGACTTTATGACCAAGAACCCAAAAGCAAACACAACAAGAAAAAAAAAAAGATGAATACGTAGGACTTAAACTAAAAAGCTTCTGCACAGTAAAAGAAGTAAGCAGCAGAGTAAACAGACAACCCACAGAATGTGAAAAAATCTGCAATCTATACATCTGACAAAGGACTAATATCCCAAATCTAAAAGAATCTCCAACAAATCAGCAAGAACAAAACAAAAAATCCCATCAAAAAGTGGGCCAAGGACATGAATACACAACTCAAAAGAAGGTATACAAAAGGCCAACAAACAAGTGAAAAAATGCTTAACATCACTAATGATCAGGGGAATGCAAGTCAAAACTGTAATGTGATACCATCTCAGTCCTGCAAGAATGGTCATAACAAAAATTCAAAAAGTAATAGGTGTTGGCAAGGATGTGGTGAAAAGGCAACACTTTTACAGTGTTGGTAGGAATGTAAACTAGCACAACCACCATGGAAAACAATCTGGGGATTACTTAAAGAACTAAAAGTGGAACTACCATTTGATCCAGCAGTCCCACTACTGGGTATCTACCCAGAGGAAAAGAAGTCATACGAAAAAAGATACTTACACACAGGTTTATAGCAGCACCATTTGCAGTTGCAAAAAGATGGAATGAGTCCAAATGCCCATCAATCAATAAGTATACAAAGAAATGATGGATTTGGGTGGAGGCACATCCAAAACATATCATTCCACCCTGGCCATTCCCAAATCTTATGTCCTCACATTTCAAAACCAATCATGCCTTTCCAACAGACCCCCAAAGTCTTAACTCATTTCAACACTAACCCCAAAGTCCAAATCCAAAGTACCATATAAGACGAGGCAAGTCCCTTCCACCTATGAGCCTGAAAAATCAAAGGTAAGTTAGTTACTTCCTAGATACAGTAAGGGTACAGGCAATGGGTACAGGACCAGGACACTGCTGCAACACATAAAGCAACTATGTGATAACAACTATAATAGTCTGAATGTAAACTCCTAAATTCATGTGTTGAAAACTTAATCCTGAATGCAACAGTGTTGAGAGGTGTGGCCTAATGGGAGATGTTTCAGTCATGAGGGCGAAAATCTAATGAATAGATTCAAGGCAGTGTAAAAATGGCTTTGAGGTGTGAGTTCACCCTCTTCAGCTCTACTGCCATGTGGGTGCACAGAGTTTCTGTCTTGCCCTTTTGTCTTCAGTCAAGTGAGGACACAGCAAGAGAGCCGTCACTAGGTGCTGGTACCTTGATTTTGGACTTGCCAGCCTCCAGAACTGTGAGGATAAATTTCTGTTTTATATTTTTAAAAACACTGTGTTTCTAATTAATACTTACCCCATAGCCCAATACTATTTTAAGTCTCTCTATATATAATTAATAGAATCTCAAATATACATATAGTTTATAAATCTATATATATCTCATATATATTCCATTTCTATTTTCATTGCCTTAAGGATTAGTTTATGTGAGACAATACCCATCAAAAATATCATCTTGTAATTCTGCATCTCATTTTAGCCATATTGCAGGTAAAGTATCTATTTCTTTATATAAAACAACATTATTTAACCCTTGCAAGGCAAATAGCATATAGTATATAAACAGAGGCAATTAAAGGCATGTAGTAAGTTGTTCAACAAGTGTTGATGAAATGAGTACATAAATGCATTCAGTATATATTAGTAAATGTGTAACCCATGAAGATCAATTAATGCATTAGGAGGAAAGTAACAGTACATGGGTTTTGCTTATTGTTGCTAAGATTTTATATGGATAATTTTAGGTGATGATACATGTCATAAATGGTGTTTTCTAACTGTCATTCATTTGATATAGATAAAGATGTTAAACAGTGTTTCAGATCTGATCACAAAATGTATTATATCTACAAATTTACATAGCTACCTTAAAAGTATTTGATACTGTATTTTTAAGCAATTATCAGCCGAGGCATTTTTTTTCACTGAAATTTTGTTCCTTCTTTTATATTATGTTGCGATTTTCCGAACTATCACTAGGATAGTTTTATAATTTATAGTCATTAAATAAACAATGTATCAGTGAAGTCTCTCTCAGACTCTATTCTGAGTATGTGGCAGGTAATACATAATTCACAATCAGAATCTGAAAAAAATTACAGTAAATCTTTCTCAAACATTATGTCATTATCTAAAATACCCTAAAATCCAGAAATTATGGCTGATAGATTTCTGTCAGGAATTAAAAATTTATACTTTATAATACCTATATATTTTCTTATACATATTTTGTGCATACAGAGATCATCAAAAATTTAATTTACTAGTTAAAGAGACTAGTTGTATAATAGTTGTTACCTAATATTGCTGCAATTATTTTATGAATTAGACCTGTTTATGTTTTTAATTATGTAGTTTGTTCAGTTACTTTGTGGTTTCCAGTCTCAATTATTCTATTTTTCCAGCAAGTGTAGTTAATGGTCACATTTACTGAGTGTTGCCTGGTGTTTAACTAACCCCTAAGATAGTGGAAAGCTAAAATTAAATATGCTTATCACTTCTAAGGGAAGAGATTGCCTTTCAAGCTGTTGCCCCAAAGTTTATTGGCTGTAAATCACCATTACCTACATGTCATAAACAAGCCTTGTTCTGCAATAGGACAAGTTGAGACTTTTCATTCAAAATAGGAATAGCAGATGGGGTGGCGAGCCAAGAATTATTGAGCATTACTGAGTGCTCAGCACTCTGGCATGTGTTTACCATATATTATCTATTTTGTCCTTGAAACAACTTCATGAGAGAGATATTTTATGCATGAAAAATCTTTAGTGAGTAAGTCATGCAAGCCACTAGCAATTTGAAAACAGACACAGACAAAGCCTGTAAGGTATTGCAGGAAAGTATGTAAAAATAATTTATAATTGTGAAACCTAAGGTAAATTCTAGATAAGGAAAAAAGTTATGGAGGGCTTGTAATAGATAAAAGTGTTGGGCTGATTGTAAATATCATTAGCAAAAGATAAAAACTATAATAAATGAATGAAAATAAGTGTGTATTTACATAGACATTTCATTTTGTAAATACTTGTGGAGTGCCAGGCACTGTTTAACCACTAATGAGTATTAACTTCTCTAATATTCAGAACAACCCTATATGGTAGGCATTTTGTAATCATTGTCTATGTTATAGAAAAAAAAATGTAGACACAAGTGGGATAATTAAGTAAATAATCCAAGTTAATATAGATAGTCAGTAGTTCCAATTCGGTTAGTTTTGTTCTAGAGTCCAACTTTCCAGCAGCAGAGTATAAGCAGCAGAATTTTATCAGTTGGAGATTATAGGACACAAGGCAGAATAGAGATAGCATATTTAAATTCCAGTGTTTGAACCGATCAAGATTTAGGGGTAGGATATTCATTCTGTGGGGGAATTAGGTAGCAAAAGAAAATTTGAGGCTGGGCGCGGTGGCTCACGCCTGTAATCCAAGAACTTTGGGAGGCCGAGGTGGGTGGATGATGAGGTCAGGAGATGGAGACCATCCTGGCCAACACGGCGAAACCCCATTTCTACTAAAAACACAAAAAATTAACCGGGCATGGTGGCATGTGCCTGTAGTCCCAGCTACTCGGGAGGCTGAGGCAGGAGAATCTCTTGAACCCAGGAGGTGGAGGTTGCAGTGAGCTGAGATTACGCCACTGCACTCCAGCCTGGGCGACAGAGCAAGACTCCAACAACAAAAAAAAAAAATAGAAAAGAAAAACAGAAAGAAAGAAAAGAAAATTTGACTAATAGGATGGGCTAGTACAACAAAGCAAGGGCTTGGCTCGACTTTTAAAGAACAACAGTAAAACATCATGGACCTCAGAATGAAATCCTGATACACCAAGGGAAGAGAAGAGCCAGTAGTAACTCTGGCTCAGAAATAAACTAGGAGTCTACTTTAAAAGGACATGCAATAAAAGAAAAAACTGTCCAGAAATCAGTGAAGCCTTTGCAAGCAGATGATGACAAAGGATAACCACCTAACAGACCATAGCAAATCAAGCCCAGTGGATTTTCCAGTTTTTTCAAATACAATAATCTTAACAGCTTCTTACACATTTGACCTTTTTAAAAAAAATTCATTGGAATATTATACGATTTTATATTTATGGCAAAATTCTCTGGACCTAGAAAATAGATATCAAGCTATATCCTTCTTTGGAATTTGTAGTAGCTGTATTACAAAAACAGCAAATCCCAAGAAAATCCTCATGGGATTTTAACATACATGTTCCATTTAAAATTATCCCAATGACTTGGATTCCTGGATAAGAGTTAGAGGCAGTGGCTACTGCACAAATTGTATATCATTAGAGTATCAAAATGATTTGATTATTTTCCAGCATGCATGTGACTTCATACAAGTATTGCCAAGAATATGAATCAAAATGTCAAGGAAGTGCAGGTGAAGCCAAATAAACAAGTTGTAGATTCAGTTCATACATCATTGATCAATGAATGTTATCAATTTTCATACAGCCCAGGATCCTGGTAACTTTCCTGTTGAGCGAGTAGCATAAATTTTAAATGACCTATGGCTCACCATGAGGAGAATTGCTAAAAAGCACTCTCAATGCTCTAAAAATATTCTGAATCACTACTCCACATAAAGGAAAAAAACTTTTAATGCAATTCTCAAGGGTCATCTTAAATGAATAGAAATATGTTTCTTTACAGTTAAATTTTCTAAAGATCAATTTCCAAATAAAAGTTATGATAATATAGGTAAAGAGAAATTTTTTTCTAGTTAACTCTGCACTTTGAAACTATTAAATGCTGATTACATTTAACACATTATAATTGAAAATTCTGACTATCTCAAATTATATTTTTATTTATTGTGCATTTAGAAGTTACAGTTCATTCATAAAAATATAAATCCACAAAAATGTGCTGATCTGTTTCATTTCATCCATTCAAGACTATTTGGAGTTCAGACCTGGTGTGCACAACATTCAAACGGGCTGTCCTATTGAAATCATTGTCAAGATGCTATTGGGAAACTATCTTTCTGGACCTTTCTCACCTGCAGCTCCACTTCTTCACATGCACGATCATAGATGGATACTTGCTAGCTTCTTATGAATCACTCATGCATTACTCAAAACTTTCAACACCGTAGGAACTGAAAGGTACATTCAAACTCATAGTACAACTATAGGGAATCCATTACAAGGCAGCCAGAGAATCTGTATCTTCCTGGAGTTTGTGGATGTAAAATTTTCTGTGCCTCTACCCTGTTATTTTCCTGTACCTTTCTGACAAAAGTAGATTCCTCTTTCCTGCATCTGTCCAAAGTAGAAGGATATTTATTTTACATTTAACCTCTTTGTTCTTTTTCTCCGCTAATTAAAACCTCTTTCTCTCCTTGTATCCCAACTCCTTAGACTGAGCACTCTGGAACTCTTAGTCATAGTCAACAACCTCCCATATATACATGAAATCTTCTTTAGTGGTGATTTTCCTTATTCGCTCACCCCATGCCTACCAGGGTTAGAAATGTGATTGTTATCTTCGTTGTTCTTGAACGTCAGTTTCCGAATAAAGAAAAACTAATGCTTTTCTTTAAATCCCACTTTTTCAAGAGTCATAAAAGTCAAATACATGACTGTTTCCTTTCTATTACAGTCCACTTCTGAGCTCCTAAATATATCCCCTCATTTATTTAAGATATTAGTGCCTGACATACACTCTTAATTTTCATGATTGTTCCTTTTGTTTCTCAGTATGATTCCATTATCCTCACAGATTACTCATCCAAAATGTGGACATTTCAGTTCTCTGATAACCTCTTCCTTTGACTACTTTCTCTGCCATTTTCCAATAAAAAGATGCATGTTTATAAATTTGAACTTACAGAAGCCAAGATGCAGTCATTTCTGAAATTAATAATTTAAATAATCTTCAGTAGAACAAGGTAATCCTCTTGTCACGGCTACCCCAAAACAATTTTACTTTGACTGTATCAGAAATTATAGCTTGATTTATTTTCTTACTTATTATTTATACATATTTCATCACCAATTACTATACTTTGTTTCTCTCTTAAGCCAGCACATATTCCACGATCTGCTGTTTCCATTATTATCCTCCTAATAAAATATTCTCTCCTAATCTCTGTGCCAGTAAAAAGCACCAACGTCTGCTCAGTTCTTTGGCCAGGTGCTTGTGAGTAAATTTAGATGTTGCATTCTCTTTGCTCCTCATATTCTGTGACTCATCAAGTCCTGTAAATTCTACTGTGTAAATATACCATGAATTCGCATATTTTTCTCCCTTATTATTCTCATCCTAGTGTTTCGTACCATTGCTACCTTCCACCTAAGTAGCATGAACCACATACTAAGGCATAATACATAGAATGAAAAAAACAGTTCTATATTCATGGGTCTGGTAAAGTTTGTTGTTGTTACTTTAATTGTACCACTTGATTCACGTGCTTATTTTGTATATTTCTCTTTTTTATTTTTACTAATGTAGCAATCAAGGGAACACAACTTTTGTGTCATGAACCACAGATTCATGATAATGGACTCAATATTATTATGCAGTACTGATTTGATGTTGAAAAATAATTACAAGGTAAAATAGTTTCTGCACTGCATTTTTTTTTATTCCTATCTTTTTTGTTACGCTGCTGTAAGAGTGATCTTTTTCTCTTTAATACTGGACTTTCTTCCCTAGAGTCGTTTTAGGTTTACAGAATAATTGAACAGAAAGTAGATTCCCTGCATAACCCACTCTCAGTCACTACAGTTTTCTATATTATTAATATCTTACATTAGCATGATACATTTGTTGTAGCTGATGAGCCAATATTGACACATTATTATTAATTAAAGTTTATAGTTTACATTAGAGTTCACTCTGTGTTATACATCTGCTTGGTTTTGAAAAAGTATAACATAATTCCACCATTACAGTATCATACAAAATAGTTTCAATTGCTCTAAAATTCTCCCTTCCATGTCTTCCTCCCTCTATTCCTTTCTCCTAATCCCTGGAAACCATGGGTCCTTTTACTCTCTTCCCAGTTTTATCCTTTTTAAAATGTCATGTAGTTACAGTCAGATAGCATGTAGCCTTTTCATACTATCTTCTTTGACTGAACAATATAAATATAAGGTTACTCTGCATTTTTTCACAGAGCAATCTTATAAAAATAAAAATCACATCTGTCACTATCCTGCTTAGAATTCCTTGATACCTTCCCATTGTTATACCAATACAGTTTAAAATTCTCAGCCTGAAACTGTGCTACTCAAAGTATGGTGTATAGATAAGAAAATGCAATCACCTAAGAGCTAAAGATTCTCAGGCATCACCTTAATGACCCTAGTATTATGGTCATCACCGATATACTATCAAGATCCCAAGATGACTTGGATGCATACAGAAGTTCAAAGGCACTGGTTTTGAAGTTCCTCCATGATTTTTCTCAACATCCTTCCTCTATCCCTACCGTGGACCAGCCATCTTCCCACCTGGTAGCCACTTCATAACAAAGAATCCCATTGTGCTAAAAACAAAGGCCTTTATTATTTTTCAGATGAATAAAAAGTTACAAAGGTGATCACTCATTAAAATAATAATTATGAAAATAATAAAATTAGTAATAAAAATAATTTCTTCTTTTAGAGTAGTACATATTTTCTCAGTGACAACTTACTTTGAATGTTATCTTTTAAGGCACCTAAATATTTTAACTACTTTATCCCATAATAAAAGCCTATGCAAATATGTTTTTAATGAAAAACTTCACTTTCCTTTCTATTTTTCCTCGAAAAATAACCTAAATTATTTGAATCTGTAGAGACATTCAGTCCTACAGTGAAAAAAGACTATAAAGACTAAAAAATACTATAAAGAAAGAAACACATTTATTTTTCTTTATACATACTCTGTAGTTCCCTTATAAAGAACAGAGCTATTTCAGCTAGTAAAACAGAAAGCTATGTATGTGTCAATAAGACTATAAAGGCATAATAACGCAGTATCTACCTATCAGTTAAAGGCTTGAATATAATTTCCTTAGGGAACCGTAGTTTGGACCATCGGCCAAGGTTAGATCCTTCTATTGTCTCCTCCCATGAACCATAATATCCTTTATAATATAACACTTGATACTTTTTTCTGTATATGCCAATGTCCTGGTACATTATAATTCTATTAAAAACTTAGAACAGAGACCATAGATATCTTATTTTGCAGTATGCTCAAGAACTAGGGCAATGCTTAAATCGTGAATGATACAATTGATTAATATTTTCTCAGTAAATGGAAATGTGATTTCTGAGTGATGTTATAAAAATTCATACCCAAATCTCATACCTTTAACATATATGTCCACTGCCTTGTACTGAGATAATTTATGTCCAAAACAAATACCATCAATTGCTTCTAAAGAAAGAGTCAAAAATACAAATGTCTTCCTTAAAAGGTTATGTAATTTAATACCTCTTTTGCATATAGAATAAAATCTAAATATCCCTTCATTTATTCAAGTTGAATATAGTCTACAAATTATTTAGTTGTATTTATAAATCAGATACGTACTTAGAAAATATATTGATCATGTTTAGTTCTTCCATTAAAATACAATCTCTTTTGAGGCCAAGACCAAGAGATTTTGCTGTTGCTTATTTTGTTTTTATGTTTGCCATTTTTTACCAAGCATGAAGCAGTTGCTCAATAAAAATTAATTTCCTTTCTCCTAAATATTTCAAAGCTCCTTTTAGAATTTATTTTATAAGCTTTATAATGTCTCCTGCTTCTAGAGAAATGTTTGTCGTTTTTCTTGTATATAAGCATGTTGGAATAAAATGGAAATTTCAATATCACACAATAAAACAAAGGTGAAACAAAATATAGCTCTCCTTTATCCCACTCACTACTCCCATCACAGCACCAAATTTCTTCATGGAATAATAATGGAAAACTGTATTTGAACTTGCAGGCCAACAATAACCAAGATCATAATAGGATGCATAGCTCCAAAGAAAAATGCCTAGTGCATCAGCAATAAACATAGGATAGATCCCTGAAATACTGCTTTCCTTGGGATTCAGAATTTATACTCAAAACATTGCAGTTGCTGTGAGACACCACAATAACAATTCTACAGTGCAGTTTCAAAGGTCTAATAAATTAGATTCTTCCTTGGCTCAGTCAAAAATACTGGGTTCAGCAGTTTCAACAATGGAAGCCTCATCTAATTAAATTAAGTGCTGCAAAGGCTCACGCCAGCAACACTACCTCGAGCTGATAGACTCAGGTTTGCAATATTGCTAATCTGGCGTGCAGCCACTGGGATGATCGTAGACACTGAGCCAACAATTTAATCTTAAGTAACTCAAAGACTAGAAAGGAGCAATTTTCCTCTTAATGGTGTAGCCGTCCTAACATGTATATTTATATTTCTCCCCTCCCATATATCTAGAATATTTTTGGAAGGCTCACTTATTACTAAATTGACATTTAATTTTAAAAAAGACTGTGAGCTCATCACTATTTTAATATGCCAGCTAATTTTCGTCTAAAAGCATCCGCACTGAAAATGACAAATTTTGTTTGAAGATACAATTTTTTAATACCGATAGTTCTCATAGTATATGGGAGATTTATTACTTTCCTGTTTGTAGGTTTGCTTTTTTCACTTATTTTTGGCTTGTTAGTATGTTTGTTGTGATAGTGTAAATAATTAAATTCAAAGTAAAACTTGCCACTGTGAACATTTCTAATTAGAAAACTGATTTAATTACTATATTTGTCGGTGCTATTTTAAAATCCAGGGTAACATATTTTTATGATTTTAGAGCACTGATTTTTTTTTCAGTGAGCATATATTTAAATAGTTTTATTTATTAAAACTCATAAAAGGCCAACTTAGTTATTATCTGACTATTGATTTGATAAATAATTTAAGTTTTTTTAGAGAATAATTTTGCAATAAAAGAAGTATATCATTGTGTTCATTTCAGTCAGGGCTGCATCAAACTGTTAGAGTTTATAAATGAAAATAAACAAAAAGTAGAGTGCAGAGTTATTTGGCTAAGAAACTGAATAATAATATTAAACTTCAAATATATTAATCAAAGAAAATGAGTAACATATAGTTATCATTGCAGAAAAAAATGTGGCATAATGTCTTACTCTGGTTTTTGAAACATACAAAAGAATGCATGGTTTCAGGTGGAATCAAGAGCACACAGTCTGAAAAAAGTCACCATGAAAGAATTTGTGAAATGTACGGAGGACTTTAAATGTCAGGGCAAAAGACAAAAGCTTTACACAGAGGGCTGGCTCTCACTGAAACCCTGAGATTAAAGGGAATAGGTGAAAAGCTTTTGATGCTGCTATGTAATAACAAGTCTAATGTAAGAAAAAATGGACAATTTACTATAACATTGTAATGAGTAAACAACAGGAGATGAGGCTGAAAATATGAAGTATCAATGAATTTGGAAGACAAGACCAGGAAGCATGGAACAATCTTAAAAATGCTTAACATGAGGTGCATTTTAACAAGATCTATAGGTAATTGACATGAAAGTTAAAGTTGGGAAAGCACAGGGTTATACAATGCTTCTGTTTAAGTAGACTGTGAAGTCTATCTAGATAACATGCCTAGTGTATTCACTTTCATAGGTATATATTAATTAATTGATCGATTATCTCAACAAATCACTTGAAATTAGTATTATGTCTATTAGATGTTTCTTGGTGATCGGGGTCACAAGTTTGAGAGAGAAAAAGAAAGGATATGGTAATGTGTGTAACAATAATGAATGCATTGAACATTCTTTCTCTAATCACTCTTCATAGTTATTTATTTTTAATAAGACAGGTTATATAAGTGCGCAATTTATTTGGCTTCTTTACATTAAACAGAGTTATCAGAATGATTTTTGCTCTAATATAAATAGTATACTTTAAATGTTTTTTCAGATATTAAATCAGGATTATAATGAAAATTTTCAATTCTATGCTGTTGGGTGGCTATATCAAAAATTGAAGAGATTGCAAAAAGACTTAAACAGTATTTTAAATGCATTTTAAAAAATAGTTAGAGATTAGTAATGTTTATTAACACAACCATTATTACATTAGAGCCAGAAGGAAAGACCTCCTGAGTCCTGCCTTGTTCATTTTCCTTCTTTCAGTTTCCTCACCAAATAGACAAGTAACAATAGAATATGGAGACTTAAAAAAATCTTTCTTTAGAAATAGTATGATTCAGAGTAAGACTCAGATTCACAGTTGCTATAGTCTGAAAATTTGAGTGTCCCCAAAATATTCACATGTTGAAAGCTAATCCCAGTGTGATGGTTCTAGAAAATGAGGACTGTGGGAGTTTATTAGGTTATGAAGTCAGAGCTCTCATGGAAGGCAGTAGTGCCCTTATAAAAGAAGCCCCAGAGAGAGGCTTTGTCCCTTCCACCATATGAAGACTCAGGTACAACACACCACTGATGAACCAGAAAATGTGCCTTCACCTGTGACATTTTTCCTATGTTCTTCATTTTGTTATATGTTTTTCTACTATGCGGTCTCTCTGTCGTGGCATCCTGTTTTTGCTAATGTACGTGTCATGGAATCCCAGGATTAAGAAAGACCTCAAAAGTTTCCAGGCATAACCACCTATACGCTAGGTTTACCACTTGTCACAGCATAACTGTCAAGTTCCCATCAATACCATGCATGTTCTTACTGCCTTACATCCCATGGGAAACATTTCTATACTTAAAAATATCAAACTTTAAAAGTTTTGTAATATTGAGAGGGATATTGTATCACTGAAACATCCCACAAACCACTCTAATCTTAGGTCTAAATCTTAATTCTAAACATTTTTCAAAACAATTGTGTCTTCTTGTTAAAGGTTAACAACAACTTATCCTTGTAATCTTTGAAAATCTTCTTATCATGAAGTATTTTATTCTGCAAGCCACTGACTTTCATATTTTAGTCTTTCAACATATTTATTGATTTATTTATTCCTCCTCAATAATTCACAATTGCACATTTGGAATTCCATCTTTCATATTTCCCCCAGTACACATTTCATAATTATATTCAATTATTTCTCTTTCTTCTTATTTTAGACTTGTACTTCCAATGTGCACAGTGAATAATTGCTGTAAAAATTCATAAAAACTTACGTTGGTATCTAGGTTTGCTCTAGTAGTATGCAAGCCCACGAATGTATGATATCAAATGGCCACATAAAAATACACATATTAACTGTGAAATGTTAACACTGGTTAATGACAGAAATGATATTTTGTTTGTGGTACATGTAGATCCATCCATTTGTTTCTGAATCAAATCTTCAAAATTTTAAGAAATCCAAGAAGTGATAAGCTAGGCACAGAAAGGCAAACATCATAGGTTCTCACTTATTTGTGGGATCCAAAAGCCAAAAACAATTGAACTCATGAACATAGGCAGTAGAAGGATGGTTACCAGAGGCTGGGAAGCTTAGTGGGGTGGAGTGGGGATGGTTAATGGGTACAGAAAAAATAGTCAGAAAGAACGATTAAGACCTACTATTAGGTAGCACAATAAGGTGACTATAGTCAACAATAACTACATTTTAAAATTACTTAAAGTGTGTAATTGGGTTCTTTGTAACTCAAAGGATAAATGCTTGAGGGTATGGATACCCCATTCTCCATGACATGCTTATTTCACATTGCATGCCTGTATCAAAATGTCTCATGTACCCCATAAATTTATATACCTATTACGTACCCACAAACATTTTTAAAAATATAAAAATAGTAATAAATAAAAATAAAATAAAATTTAAAAATTAAAAAGATAAAAAAGAAATGTAAGGACAGAATTGCAAGAATCTGAGACATATTGAACAAATACTAATGAAACAAGGAAATCAAATAAAGAATGAAAATAATAACCAAGAGTTACAACAAAAGAATTAACAGGGACCATAATGACTAAAGTGAAAATAGAGTGAGAAAAAGAGCAAAAAGAACTATTAATAACAAAGATCCAGTGGAAAAAGTTTAATAAAGACAACATCACAATTGTGAACATTGCACAAACTTAGCTACAGTTCTAAACTCATGTTTATATCTAATTTCATGCTATAAATTATCTTTTTCACATTAGTAAGAGATAATCTTTTCTAAAGATTAGAGCTTTCCAAAACACTCTAGCAAGTCTTTGTACTAGGGAAGTCTTTACACAGCCTTTGTTTTTACCCTTCAAACCTTGTATTTAGACTCAGAAAAATCTGTTCTTTCATTGGACTCTCTGAGTGAAGAATAATATTGCTCAATGTGTTTACAGTGGTTAAAGAAGACACAACTAGGCCAGGCATGGTGGCTCATGCCTGTAATCCCAGCATTTTGGGAGGCCAAGGTAGGAGAATCACTTGAGATCAGGAGTTCAAGACCAGCCTGGCCAACATTGTGAAACACTGTCAGTGCTGAAAATACAAAAATTAGCTGGGCCTAGTGGCATGCGCCTGTGATCCCAGCTACTCAGGAGGCTGAGGCATGAGAATCGCTTGAACCCCAGGTGGCGGAGGTTGCAGTGAGATGAGATCAAGCCACTACACTCCAGCCTGGGTGATAAGAGCAAAACTTCATCTAAAAAAAAAAAAAAAAGAAGAATACACATCTAAAACTGCTAATATTTTATCAGTTATTGTTAATAATTGCTAGAAAGCCATATATAAACTTTTTCTAAATATTCCATCAGGATTTATGTGTTGAAAACAGGGTCCATGGCCAAGATGACCAATTAGCTTATCCCAGATACTAAAAAAAATCCACTCACTAATACTCTTCTAAATGTAAAATATTATTAGGTTAATTCAGTTAATTATTACTTTATAATATAATGATTTAATAAGGGTATATGTATTAAATATTTTAAAACATTTCAGATCACCTGTAGATTATAAAGTATAACGAGGATCCTTCCAATAATCAATTATTTGAATAATTATCAATAAATATTGATAATGACTACAATCAGGTATGTATTTAATTTTATAATATAAAAAAATCTATCAGATACACAAGATTGCTTATAAAATCCTCTTGGCCCCACTCTTGCTCAGGCCACTGTTGCAGCAAAGCGGTGCCAAGGAGGCTTTGAACAGTTGAGCACAGGGTCAGCTCTGGTCTTTTGTGGAACAAATATTCATTCCTATTCCAAGGTTATTATGACCCTGCAGTGAGGGACACCCAGGGAACCAGCTCAGTGCTCTTTTATAGACACCTTAAAAGATAGGAAAATCAAGTTCAATAGGCAACCTTTATTTAATGGAGGAACTGAAATCAAGAAATAAATGCTTTTCACTTTTGCCTCCCTGGTCAACTATTCTGAAATACATTTTACAAGTCTCCTCAGACCATCCAATCACATCAAGCACCAGTTACACGTAACAGGTGCAAATTGGATTACACATCCTCCTGTCTTACCCTGCTCCCTTCTCTTTCTACTTCCCTATGTTTGTCACTCATGATTCCTTGGATCACTTTTTAAATAAACTATCTGTATTAAACCCTTTGTTTTGGGGTCTGCTTTCAGTGAATACAGAAAACATATACAGTCATGAACCACATAACAACATTTTGGTCAATGATGAACTGCGTATGCAACAATTGTCTCATAAGCTTATAATATATTTTACTGCACATTTTCTATGTTTAGATGCACAAATAGTTAACCATTGTATTACAGCTGGCTATAGTATTCAGTACAGTAATATGTTGTATAGGTCTGCAGCCTAGGAACAATAGGCTGTGCCACATAACCTAGGTGTGTAGTAGGCTACACTATATAGGTTTGTGTAAGTGCACTCTGTGATATTTGCACAATGACAAAATGACCTATGCATTTCCTAGAGCAAACTCCTGTCATTAAGTAACATGTAACTGTTTTTTTTTTTTGTGTGTGTGTGTGTGTGTAAAGCGTGTTCATGTTCAACTATTCACTTCTTGCAAGCCTTTTCTCTCTCAAATGTTTACTCTTATGTGAAAGAAATGAAAATACCATCTCAAACAATCTTTCAGTTCCCCATTAGAGATTATGAATTCCTAGGTCTGTATCTCTGGACTCCACTGGCTGGGTCATTTTCTTTCATAGGTGCTGAGTTTTCTGGATATGCCCTCTTTTGACAGCCCATCAGATAAACCATCAAAGAAATCGTGGATGTCATGAAATAACCTTCTCTTTCATTATCAAATTTAAACCTTCTCACTTTTAGACTTATTTATATATAGTAGAGAGCAGTAGCTGAAATCAATAAACACCTCAATCAAGCTATGAACTAACACCACATCATCAGACAAATGTAATAGAGTTGAGAAGGGTCAGAAAAGGGCAGCCAGGATGATGAAGGGGATGAAGTGGCTTTCATATGAGTTTAAACTAAATCATCTAGTCATAATGTGACTTAGGCTTAACTTTTTCAAGAGTCCAAAGGCTATTTAAAGTCAAGAAAAGTGTTGAAGAGGACAGTATGTTCTCCAAGTTTTATAATATTAAAAATTCAATGCATGCTTTCACGATTAAAATGCATTTTGAAGGCACATTACTAAAAGTGTCTTTATGAGTGGTGCAGTTATTATTATCCCAAGGGGAGGTATCTATAGAAAGTATTGATAAGATCATATGAAAGTATGGCTGATATTTTCCTCACTGTATATAAAATATATATAAAGATATTTTATATATATGTAAAGATATTTTATATATATGTAAAGATATTTTATATATATATAAAGATATTTTATATATATATAAAGATATTATATATATATATATATATATAAAAGAGTCTGGTTATTGAAGAACTTATCATTGATCTGCTAAGGTCATTTTTATGGTGGGAGATACACACATAAAATGTATATTTGGTTCCCTGGCAAAGGAGTGAATTTGAGAATACTGTGTTGAATTGGAAGATCAAACTCTGACAGAGTACAACATATATTTAAATGTCTATTTTATGTCTTCACCGAGGCAAAGTCAAAACCATTATATTATTCATAAAATTCTGTTTATATTTCATTTACCCTTTTCTGCTTCCAGAATTAATACTATCACTAAATTTTATCTGGAAGAAATAAGAATGGTCCAAAAAAAGGAATCCTACCCTTGCATGTGAAATCTCACAGAACCTTGGAAACGTTAACTTCATGGAGCATGTGAGCTGTCACGAAAGAAAGAAAACAGCAGAGTTTGTCATGTAATGCTTTACTTATTGAATCTGGAGTATTTGATAAATTGAATTAACCACTTCCTGAGACCAGATATAAAATCAGATGCTGCTTATCTCTCTATCTATACTTCACTGATATTTTCAAGACCATTTTAGGAAGGATAGACTGACATATTTAAGGTGGTACTTCAATAAACATTGCAAATAATTTTTTAAATGCAAAGTGCATATCTAAAGAAAATGCTTTATTATTTCTATTGAAATTGGCTATAACATTTCATAAATGTAATTCTTATTCATGGCTTGTACATTTAATACATTCACATGTTCCTATATCTGGAGACAACCAATGTTAATATTTTCTTGTGTTTTTTTTCCATATACATTCTATGCATACACAAAAAAACGATCTTTTCTTTGTAGATGTTTCATATAATTTGAAAGACATATGCTTTATCTAACAGTAACTTTTAAAATAAAATTGTGTAAAAGTTTTCTATATTAATATATTTTACTCCTTACCCTGAGTAGTAAGGGAAAACAGTATATATCCTTTTATCCTGTTCCTTTTAACCACCAATTTGTATTGATTTGTTTATGGTTTGTAATGTTGACATTTGGTATTAAGGTAATTAGTTCTGGTTTCTTAAAGAAAAATCTCAGCTGCTTAATGCAACACAGGTTCATTTCCCACACACATAAAGATTGATGGGGGTTGGGAAGCCTCCTTCCATCTGGAAGTGACATCATCTGGAATATGTGGCCTCCAAGGACACCATGGCAGTAGAAAAGAAAGACACAAGAAGACACTAGGTCTTAAAAGCCTCAGCCCAGAAGTGGCACACACTAATTCTGCTCACTGTCTACTCTGCTCACAAGTCTCAAAATTAACTGCAAGTCAGGCTGGGAAAAGTAGACAAAAGCAGGGAATATTTAGTGAGCAAAAATAGTCTCTGCAACATGTTTGTTATGCTAAATATACTTAAAACCTTATTGTTTAATGTATTAACTTCAAACAGCATCTTTTGATGCCAAGGTAAAAATGCACTGAAGATGTATACACTAATGAATGAATCGTCACATCAACCATACATGTAACCACCATAGATCAAAAATTAGTACATTATTGGCACCCTAGGGCTCCCTTTGTGCCCACAATCAATCGCTACTCATTCTCCCCTTTCTGGAGGCACAGATATCTTGATGTCAAATACTATAATTTAGCTTTGCTTGTTTTAGAACTTATGTAAACAGTATAATCCCATTTGTATATTTTTGTGAGCGGCTTATTTTGCTTAACATTATGCATATAAGTTTTCTCCATGTTGCTATGGCAGGCAAGTGCATTACAGCTATGAAACTCTAATCACATACAGTGTGGATATAACATAGGGTATACTAGGGGGGAAACTTAACATCCAGAGAAGTGGGAAAGCACAAGCAGTCTCATGAATGCTTATATTTTTAGAAGCATAAGCAGGGGCTACATGTTCTGCGTGTATTGTGACCAAAATTTAAGCAGAAAAGTTCAGGTTTGGCCAGCAGGCCAGGCATGCAACAAAAAAACAGCAAGAGACAACACAAATGGTTCCCCACACCTCTTTGCTTTATTTGTTTGTTTGTTTGTTTGTTTGTTTGTTTATTTTAGAGACAGAGTCTTGCTGTGTTGCCCAGGCTGAAGCACAGTGGCTGTTCACAGGTGCAGTCATGATGAACTACAGCTTTGAACTCCTGGGCACAAGTGATCTCCCTGCCTTGGCCTTTCCAGTAGCAGGACTACAGGCATTCACTACCATGGTGGCTCACCTTGCTTTTTTTATAGGCTAGCTGAAAATAGAGTAGGGAATACTGTCCTTCTGTAAGTAACAAGAGCTATAGTGAGGGGTCCTAAGGCCAGGAACAATACCAGGAACTAAGCAGCTCTTGTGGCAAAGTCTGCACACCAAGGGCCCATTTAAGGGAACAGTCTTAAATGGCAGGTATATTGAAATCAACTTCCCGGTCTCCAGATTTCTTAGTCTGAGTAAGCCAACTCTCTGCTAAGTTACCAAAAGAGGGAAGTAAGTGAGCCTTCAGAGTCCCCAGGTTTACCTGCCATCATGTTGCCAATAGATGATTTCATTTAGTTTCAGTATCGCATAGTATTCTATTGTATGAATAGCCCAGACTTTATTTACCAATTCTACTCCTAATGGACCCATAAGTGGTTTCCAGATTTTGGCTATGAAGAATATAGCTTCTCTTTGAGTATTCTCATACATGTCTCTTGGTACAAATGTGCTTATTTCTTTTGGGTCTAAATCTACTAGGGGATTCCTGGCTCAAAGAAGATGTATATGCACACCTTTAGTAGATATAATGCATAAAAGTTGATATGAAAATGGAATGGGAAAAAGAGGATATATACTAATTTCCTTATATATATTAAGTTATATATTATTCAAGGTAAAAAAAGATATTAACATAGGAAAAATATTTATATTTTATAAATTGTTGAATCAAAAATATATTTTAGCATTTTACACTCGTACTTGCAGAGTATTAGTGTTCCTATTGTACTGGATTTTCAACAACACTGCTTTCAGATTTCTTCATTAGTTTTTCAGGTAGGAACATAGAGTTATCTTGCAGAGATTTTAATTTTTATTTATCTAAGTAGCAATGAGAGTGAGTGCTCCTTCATATATTTCTCATTGTGGGGATAACCTATCTTGTAAATAGCTTATTCACATACCTTGACCAATGTTTTTGGATTGTCAGGCTTTTGCTATTATTTTATAGTAGTTAATATACATTTAAGATAAGAGTCTTTTTGAGTTTATCTGTTACAAACATCTTTTTTTTCAACTCTGGCTTGACCTTTTACTGTCTTAAGCAAAGACTTTTGTTGCTGTTGTTGTTGTTGCATACCAATTTAAAATTGTTGCGTCTTCCTGGTGAGCCCAACCTTTTGTGATTGTGAAAGTTTCCTTGCATTTCTTATAGCCTTTTCCCTAAAAGTCAACCACCCTCCCACGTTAAAATAGTTACACCTGCTTTTTTGATTATTGTTTGCATAGTAAATATTTTCCTCCTGTTTATTTTAAATCTTAGATTACCTTTATATTTTAGATGTAGCTCACGTAAGGAGCATGTAGGAGATTTTTTTTAAAATGCATACTTGACAGTACTTATCTATTATTTGGAGCAATTCATCCATTTATAGACATATTTTGTCTTAAATCTACCATTTTGCTATTTGCTTTCCATATTTATCCTGTCTGTTCTATGTTCTTTTTAATTCTTCATTTTCTTAACCTTCTTTGGTTTTGACCAAATAATATTTTTAGTGGAATAGTTTCCTTCCATTAGCACATTTGTGCATTATTTTACTATTTACTGCTTATCCTAGAATATGTATATCTCAATAATTAATTATATTTACTTTTTTTCCTAATAATACAACTACTGTACTGTAGAACACTTAAAAACCATTGTCGACTGGGCGCGATGGCTCATGCCTGTAATCCCAGCACTTTGGGAGGCTGAGGTGGGTGGATCACAAGAGGTCAGGAGTTCGAGACCAGCCTGGCCAACATGGGGAAACCCTGTCTCTACTAAAAATAAAAAAAATTAGCCGTGTGAGGTGGCATTTGCCTGTAGTCACAGCTACTCGGGAGGATGAGGCAGGAGAATCACTTGAACCCAGAAGGCGGAGGTTGCAGTGAGTTGAGACTGTGCCACTGCACTCCAGCCTGAGTGACAGAGTGAGACTTCATCTCAAAAACACAAAAAATTGTCCAAATCTATTTTAATAAACCATCAATGAATGAACAATACAATGTTACTTATGATAGTCAATACTAAGTTATATTTATCCATATGTTTAAAACTTTCATTGTCCTTCATTCCTTTCCATTAGCTGAACTACTCCTTAGTGTCAGATATATTCTTCCTGAAAAATAACTTGGTATGTTCCTTGAAACGCAACCACAGATGACAAGTTGTGTTTTTGTTATTTGAAAACATCATTAATTTACATGTATTCGTGATGAATATTTTCTCTGGATATAAATAGAAGTCTAGGTTTTCAGTAATGAATTTTCTGCTTAGAAGACATTCTGTCATTGCTCTCTTGCTTCCATTGTTTTTGTTGTTGGAAAGTTTGCTGTCACTCTCTTGCTTCTATAAGTGTCGTCTGTCCTTTTCTCCAAAATTTTTGGCATTGTTATTTCTTTATCTCTGGTTTTCAATTCTTTGTCTACGTGTTCCAAGTATATCTCTGTGTTTCTTTTTACTTCTCTTGATTGGAGATGGAGGGCCTCTTGAATACATAGCTTAAAATCTTTCATCAGTTTTTAAATTTTCTCAAAGTTACATTTTTATGTATATGTTCTATCGTGTGGTCTCTCCTCTCCTTCTGGACCTTCTCACTCTATGTCTCGTATCTCCTGGACTGATTCCTGAACTCCTCATCCTTTTTTTCACTGTACAAAGTTCTGGATATTTTGTCCTGATATATTTAGTTCACAAATTCCAAATTCTCTCTTCAACAGGACCTGATCTATTATTAAATAATTCTACTTCAGCTCTTGTTTTGTATACTGAATTTTTCTTTCTTTTTTTTTGAGATGGAGTCTCATTCTGTTGCCGAGGTTGAGACTCAACCTCGGCTCAATCTCGGCTCACTACAAACTCCACCTCCCAGATTCAAGCGATTCTCCTGCCTCAGTGTCCCAAGTAGCTGGAATTACAGGTGCCCGCCACCATGCCTGGTTAATTTTTTTGTATTTTTTGTAAAGACGGGGTTTCACCATGTTAGTCAGGCTGGTTTTGAACCCCTGACCTCAAGTGATTCGCCCACCTCAGCCATATTGAATTCTTAAACTAGAAATTTCTATTTAGTATCTATCTATCTAGTGAAACTACAGAATAAAGAGCCCCAAATATTTGCCATATTTCTTTATGGTTTCTTCTCTTTGAGGTTGATTGCATAATTCCGTATTCCCTTGATGTCTCTCAGATATGATACAGCATATATACAGGTGTGTGTTTGCATATATATATATATATATATATATATATATGCTGTAACATATCTACACATATATAGATGTATATGTATTTGTACATATAAATATGTGTATGTATAAAATATATATGTACATATATTCTTTCAAAATATTTCCAAAATAGTGTATATTATTTTCTAAATTTTCTACTATTTTAAGCAGGAGATTGGTCTCAGTTACTTAGGCTGTGAATGCTCCAAAACATAGTCTATGTTCTAGGTGATATAATCTCGAAATTCGTACCCTCCAAATCTCATGCTGAAATGTGATCCCCAATATTGGAGGTCTGGCCTAGTGGGAGGAGTTTGGGTCCTGGAGGCAGATCCCTCATGAATGGCTGGGTGCCAGTCTCACTGGATTGGGCGAGTTCTCACTCCTAGTTCTCATGCGATCTGATTGTTACAAAGTGTGTCACCTCCCTCCCCTCTCTCTTCCTCCCTCTGTCACCACATGATGCCAGTTCCCCTTCCCCCAAATGTGGAAGTTTCCTGAGGCCCTCACCAGAGCAGATGCTGAAACCATGCTTCTTATACAGCCTGTGGAACTGTGAGCCAAATAAACTTCTTCCTCATAAATTACTCAGCCTCAGGTAATTCCTTTATAGCAACTCAAATGGACTAACGGACTGGACTAATATGTGTGGGAACAAATCCCTAGTCCCACTCATGTCGTTTCTCTCACTGTCTTAATAGCAACTTAGATGGACAGAATTCTTCACTTTTGTATAGTTCTTTCTGATAATTCATTGTATGCCTTTTTTTTTTTTCTTTTTTTGAGACGGAGTCTCACTCTGTTGCCCAGGCTGAAGTGCAGTGGCACAATCTCGGCTCACTGCAATCTCCACCCCGCCAGGTTCAAACAATTCTCCTACCTCAGCCTCCTGAGTAGCTGGGATTATAGGCGCCCGTCACCACGCCCAACTAATTTTTGTATTTTTAGTAGAGTTACTTTCTAAAATCTTATTTTATACTTTATAAAATCTAATTTTACTGTTGACAATTATGACTGTAATCTATTTCAAATAGACTTTTGTGTATGCCATTTTCCCTGAGATTATTCAGATTCTCCAATACTACATCTTAGATAATTTTGGCTCCCCTCATTTTCAGTGTAATTTTTCATAAAGCAAAGATATGTGTGTATATATTGTTGTGTGTATGTACATGCAAATGTATAGATCTGTATGTATATAGATTAATTCTATCTTTTCTCTTACATTTACACCAATAACACACTGCTACTTTTACCATACCATAACATTAAATCTCTTTTGTAAATTCTATTAATAAAGTTCTATAACTTGTTCATCCTCAAGTGTTTCTTCTGGGCATTTCTTGGTTTTTGCATTTATACACACAGCTTAGGAAAGTTTTTTTAGGTCTTCAAAAAACCTTTTGGAATTTCTGAATGAAATACATTAAATCTGTATATCAATTTGGGAAAATGACATTTTTACAATATTAGGCATTGCAATTAATGAATATGGCTTATTCTTCATTTATATAGTTATTATTTAGATCAATCATATATTATGTTGTAATACATGGAAATCTTGCACAATTTATGTTAGATTCATTCATATTTGACATTTTTGATGCTATAGTACATAACATTATTTTAATTTTCTGTTTGTTGGTAATATAAGTAACAACTAATTTTCATATATAATCTTCATGCTTAATAAATTTGCTAAATTTCAATAATTTATCTGTATATTATTTTAGATCATGTGAATATACAATCATATCTGTAATAATGCCACTTTTATTTTTTGTCTCTCTGCAGAGCAAAATTTTTTAACTTTTGTTTATTTTCTTGTATAGTTGTGATGGCTGGCACTTGTAGTAAAATACTTTTATCATTCCCAGTTTCACAGGAAAAATTCAGTATTCCTCTTTTTTATTTATGTGATTATGGCAAGACACAACATTGAAAGCTCATATTTTAAAGGGTGTTTAATAATTTGCAAAAGTGTGGATAGAATATAAGGAACCAATAGTAATAGTATCATACCCTAAGAGCAGTGGCAGTGGAGGACTAACCACACTTAGGCACGATGCCACAATGTGGGAAACTGAATACAGAGCTAGCACCTCCAAGAGGAGAGGTATCTAATAAGAGCCATCATCTTTGGTATCCAACACCCATAATGCCAGAGGGTTGTGATAGGAAACAAATACTGAGAGAGTAGGAGGACATATCATGAATGTTCTAATAACATTTTTGTATAAAAATAATGGTGCCTCCTAGACAAGATTTGGCTTAGCCTTATATGTATCATTTCAATGCACAATGAAATTATGTTGTTTGAGTCTAATTTTATGGTGTGGTGGATCAGATAATACTCACTTAGGGTAACCACTTTGTGTCCTTCACTTAGGTATGCAATTTTTCCAAGAGACTAGTAGACGGTGTAGAATTGCTTTGCAATAAATGCAGTTTGTCATAGAATTTGAAATGGCATGAATCCAAAATTCCAGTTCTTCACAATGGAATATTATTTTGGGGTCTTGACAAAGGCAACACTGAACATCCCTATCTGTAACATGTTATATATCTGAAAACACTGGATCTATTATATCACATAGCACATGTGGCAGAATAATTAGTACTCAAGGTCAGCAGGCGAAAACATTTCTTCTTTTTCTTTCTCCCTCCGAACACCTTTTTAAAGTTGCAACCTTTCAGGCTATTTCAAATGTGATATATATTGCCATCAAAATACAAAAAGAGCCTCTTTCTTCATAGTGAACACTGTAAGATTTATCAACCTCCCTCTTACCTTAGAAGTAATATTATAACATTCTACAAAACACTGGAGCCTGGGCAACTTAATTAATGTGTCAAGCTGCTTTAGTTCCCTGGGGATTATTTCTGATCCTCTGTCAGACATGTATTTTAGAAGGGTATTTAAAGCATCTCCTACTTTCCGCTCACTAGGAATTAGCATAATCTCATCAATGAAATTGACTTTCATGATGCTTTTTGGGATATTGTGATAATCAAGATCCCTTTGGAATATAACACTGAGCCAACTGGGCATATCCTTGAGGTAAATATATAAAGGCATACTGTTGTCCTTACTACATGAAAACAAACCACTTCTGATTTTTTTTTCCTAATAGTGATAGGGAAAAAATATTAATAGGTTGATGATAACTTCATTCTTCATCCCAGAGTTTGCTTAATTTGCTCTAATATATATACCTCCTTTCTAAATTCAGTTTGAAATGGTGTCACCAAATAAGAGTTTCAATAATTACTAGAATTTATTCACAAGCTACCTGTTGTTATTTTTTTTTTCACTGCCAAATAGTCAAGTTAAATGGGTATTTGGTCATATTGAACAATCCTGCAATTTCCAGCATTTCATGATCTCATTAAATCCTACAATAACCTCCCTAGAGACAGAACTGTTTTTATTATTCTGTTTGAGGGGGGAGCATTTTTTGGGGCTTTCATTTCTCCCTTCCTGCCATTTCTGAGGTCAGGAGTTTGATGCAATAATTCTGCCAACTATTAGGTACATTTATTCCATTGTATATTCTCTGATTGGAAAATAAACCATGAGATAAGTCCGTGGTCCCAAATAGAGAGAAAGACAGATGCATGACTGCAGTCCATTTAATCAAATTTGACTTTAATAAGTTCATCTTTAGTGGATTACAGTGATTTTTTTAAGGCATCATAAATTAGAATCAGTTAAAGCTAGTATCTGAAAATTACCAGAAATTTTTGTTTTTTCTTGTCTCTGTGCAAAATTCCTCTGATAACTTCCAAGTTTTTCTGGAGAAATCCTGGGATAATATTCATGGCATACCAATGTGGCTGTTATGTAAGAGTCCTTGCTCAGAGGAACTGTAAACTGTGAACTGTTATTGTATTAGCCCATTTCACACTGCTAGAAAGAGCTTCCCAGGCTGGGCGCGGTGGTTCACGCCTGTAATCCCAGAACTTTGGGAGGCCAAGGTGGGCAGATCACCTGAGGTCGGGAGTTTGAGACCAGCCTGACTAACATGGAGAAACGCGGTATCTACTAAAAATACAAAATTAGCCGGGCGTGGTGGCACATGCCTGTAATCCCAGCTACTAGGGAGGCTGAGGCAGGAGAATCGCTTGAACCTGGGAGGCGGAGGTTGCCGTGAGCCAAGATCGCGCCATTGCACTCCAGCCTGGGGCAACAAGAGTGAAACTCTGTCTCAAAAAAAAAAAAAAAGAACTTCCCAAGATTGCGCACTTTATAAAAGGAAAGAAGTTTAATTGACTCACAGTTCCCTATGGCTGGGGAGGCCTTAGGAAACTTACAAACATGGTGGAAGGGGAATAGGCACATTTTACATGGCAGCAGGTGAGAGAGAAAAGAGTGAGGGGCGAAGGGGGAGGAGTCCCTTATAAAACTATCAGCTCTTGTGAGAACTCACTGTCATCAGAACAGCATAGGGGAAATTACCCCCAGGATCCAATCACCTCCCACCAGGTCTCTCCCTAGATACATGGGGATTACAGGGATTACAATTCAAGATGAGATATGGGTTGGGACACAGACCCAAACCGTATCAGTCATGCTGTTACTGAGCAATAGACTATAAATAGTTTTCTTCCCGGGAAACTCAAAACTCTTTTTGCGTACATATGACAAGTTGCAACTTAGTTTTTTGCCAAAGAATTTCATTCCTAATGATTGACCAATGATGAATCATTCATCCACTGATTGAGACATCAACAAATGTTTCCCTTTTTAAAAATTAAACCTTTAATTTTGAGATAATTATAGATTCATGTACAAATGGTCTCCAGAGAAGCAGAGCCAATAAGATAAATATTTGGACTTATAAAAAGAGATGTATTTTATAAGAGATTGGCTCAGGTGGTTATAAAGGCTAAGAAGTCCCATGATGTCACTGGAGGCACAGGAAAGACAGTGGTGTAGTTCTAGTCAAAACCTACAGGCCTGGGAGTCAATGGTATAAATTCTGGTCCAAGTCTAAAGACCCAAGAACCAAGAGTACCAATGCCTGTGGGCAGGAGAAGATGATGCCCTAGCTCATGCAGAGAACAGATTTCCCCTTCCTTTCCATTTTCTTCTATGAAAACCCTCCACAGATTGAATGTGCCCACTCTCTAGGTAAGGGTCATCTTTATTCAGTTTACTGATTCAAACAGTAATCTCTTCTAGAAGCACTCACAGACACACACAGGAATAATGTTTTACCAGCTACCTGAGCATTCCATAACCCACTCAAATTGACACATAAAATTAACCACCACAATCCACATGCAGGTATAAGAAATAATACGGAAATCTCAAAAGTGTACCTTTACTCAAATTCATTAAGTGTTAACATCTTGCAAATTTATACTACAATATCACAACCAGGGTGTTAATATTGATACAGTTAAGATAAATAACACCCTGGACATTGTGGCTCACACTGGAATCCTAGCACTTTGGGAGGCTGAGGCAGGAGGATTGTTTGAGCCCAGGAGTTTGAGACAGCAGTGAGCTATGATTTTGCCACTACCTTCCAGCCTGCGCAACAAAGCAAGCTTCTTCTCCAAAATAAAACAAACCAGGCCAGGAGTGGTGGCTCATGCCTGTAATCCCAGCACTTTGGGAGGCTGAGGCAGGCAGAACACAAGGTTAAGAGATAGAGACCATCCTGGCCAACATGGTGAAACGTCGTCTCTACTAAAAATATGAAAATTAGCTGCATGTGCTGAGGCACACCTGTAGTCCCAGCTACCTAGGAAGCTGAGGCAGGAGAATCAATTGAACCAGAAAAGCAGTTGTTGCAGTGAGCCAAGATCGTGCCACTGCACTCCAACCTGGTGACAGAGCGAGACTCCATCTCAAAAAAAGAAAAAAAAGAAATCCCTCAATATTATCTTAGGCTGGGCACAGTGGATCACATCTGTAATCCCAGCACATTGGGAGGTCGAGGTGGGCTAATCACGAGGTCAGGAGTTCGAGACCAGCCTGGCCAACATAGTGAAATCCCATCTTTACTAAATATACAAAAATTAGCTGGGTGTGGTGGCACATGTCTGTAATCCCAAATACTCCGGAGGCTAAGGCAGGAGAATCACTTGAACCCAGGAGGCAGAGGTTGCAATGAGCCAAGATCATGCCACTACATTCCAGCCCAGATGACAGAGTGAGACTCTGTCTCCAAAAAAAAAAAAAAAATAACATTAAATAAATAAATAAATAAAACCAAAAAAGATAAACCACATTTTCTTCACCACAGAATTCCTGCAAGTCACCCTTGTATAGCTTCATCTACTTATTTCCTTCCCCCTTAATCATTGGCAACCACTAACCTGTTCTTCATCTATAAATTATCATTCCAAGTATGTTATATAAGTAATACTATGCAGTATGTAACATGAAGGTTGGCTTTGTTACACGCAGTATAATTCTACGAAAATTCATCCATGTCATGTCAATAGTCAGTTCCTTTTTAAACACTAAGGAGTAATTCATGGTATGTGTGTCCCACAGTGTTTTAGGTCATTTGTTCATTTAAGGAAATTGGCTTGTTTTCTACTTTTTACTATTATGAATAAAGTTGCTTTAACTTATGTGTATTTAAATTCTTAAAATTACTATAGCTATATAATAAACCTTGGAATCAGGCAGAAGGATTCTTCTTACTTTATTCTTTTTGAAAGTTGTTTTAGTAATTTTACTTCTTTTGTCTTTCATATAAAATTTATAATAGTATTTTCTATGTCATAAAATTCTAGCAGTGATAAAAAATGTGTTAATTTGTATGCCAGTTTCAGGATAACTTTTATCTTTACTACACTGAGTATTCTAATATAAGAACATAGTAGGTTTCTCTATTTATTTAGAACTTCTTTGATTTTTTATCAGCATTGCATAGATTTTAATGTAAAATTTCTAAACATGTTTTATTAGATTTATACGTGACTATTTTGATTTTTAGTGATTATAAATGCTATGATACATTAATTTCTATGTCTATGCGTTCATTACTGCCATATATAACTACAAAATATTTTTATGCTTATGTAACCTGCAATTTTTCTACACTCGTTATTTATAAGCTTTTTTTATAGATTCCTTGAAGTTTTCCACATAGTGAACCCTGTCACTTCTAATTAGCAATATTTTATTTTCACAATATAAGTCTTGCACTTCACTTGTTAAATTTATTATTATTTTATTTCTTTAGATACTATTGAAAACAGAATTATTTTCTTATTTTTAATTATAGAATGTCTACTTTTAGTTTTATAGAAATACAACTGATTCTTGTGTGCTGATCTTTTAAAAGGCAACTTTGGTAAAATCATTTATTATTTCTAACAGTTTATGAATTCCTTGTGATTTTCTTATATATAATATCTCATTTGTAAATACAGATCATTTTAATTTTTCCCTTCTAATTTGGAGGAATTTTATTTATTTCACTTTCTTAATTGTTCTATCAAGAATGTCAAGCAAAATGTTGCAGAGAAGGGGCAAAATGGCCATACTTGTCTATTCATGATTTAAGGGGAAGCTTTCAATGTTTTACCATTAAGTATAATGTTAGCTGGGGTTTTTAAAAAAATAATTATACCTTTATCATAATGAGGAAATTTTTGTTTTTATAGTTCTAGCTTCTTGAGTATTTTTGTAATGAAATGTCATTGATTTGTGTGAAATACATTTTTATACATTAATTGCAGTAATCTTTCACCCTCCTTCTATATATTAACGTGTTGTATTACATTAATTATTTTTGTATGTTGAGCCACCTTTACACCCCTGGAATCCAACTTGGTCATAGTCTGTAATCTTCTTATTATTCTGCTGGAATCAATTTGCATTTTGTTGAAAAATTTTAAACCTGCATTAATGAGAGGAATTTAAATACAGCTTTCTTTTCTTATGATGTCTTTGTTATCAGAGTGTACCCACCCAGTGGGTTCACCTTGCCCACTGCCTAGACGGAATCGATTTATCAAGATGGGGGAATTGCAATAGACAAAGAGTTATTCATGCAGAGCCCCCTGTGTGGGAGACCAGAGTTGTATTTACTACCGAAATCTGTCTCCCCAAGCATTCAGGAATCAAGGGTAATTTGGTGGGTAGGGGTCAGTGAGTCAGTAGTGCTAATTGGTTGTTCCGGAGATGAAATCACAGGGAGTTGAAGTGCTGAGTCAGTTCCTGGGTGGGGGCCACAAGATCACATGAGCCAGTTTATTGATCTGGGTGGTGCCAGCTGATCCATCAAGTGCAGGGTGTGCAAAATCTCTCAAGCACTAATTTTCGGTTTTACAATAATGATGTTATCCCAGGACCAATTTGCAGAGGTTTCGAATCTTGCAGCCTTCAGCTCCTAAACTATAATTTCTAATCTTTTGGCTAATTTGTTAGTCCTACAAAGGCAGTCTAGTCTCCAGACAAGAAGAGGGTTTGTTTGCAGCAAGGTTTATTATAATCTTTGTTTCAACGTATGAACTATAAATAAAGTTCCTCTCAAAGTTAATTCAGCCTACACCCAGGAATGAACAAGGACAGCTTGGAGGTTAGAGGCAAGATGGAGATTGTTAGGTCAGATCTCTTTCACTGTCACAGTTATAATTTTGCAACGGAGATTTCAAAGGCAATGCTTAACTCAGTTAATGTTAGGAGGTGTTCCCTCCTTTTCTATTTTTTGAAAGAGTTTGAGAAGTTTGGATTTAAATTATTTAAATCATCGTTAGCATTCAGATGTGAAGCCATCTGGTTCTGGACTTTTCTTAACAGATAACTTCTGAATACTGATTCAATTTCTTGAATCAGTTATACTTCTGCTCAGATTTTCTATTTCTTTTTGACTCAGTTTTAGATGGATTTTGTGTTTCTTGAAAGCTGTCAATTTCATACAGGTTATTTAATCTGTTGGCATAAAACTTTTCATAGTATTCTCTACTCTGTATTCATGGCCTTGCTTTAAATTCCGATGTTGGTCACTTGATTCTTCTCTTTTTTTCTTTGTCAGTCTAGCTAAATTTACCAATTTTGTTCATCTTTTCAAAGAACCAAACTTTATCTCTTTAATGTTTTTTATATTTCATATTTCTTTTATCTGAGCTCTAATTATTATTTCCCTCTTGTGGTTTATCTTGACCTTCATATTCTAGTTTCTAGAGGCAGAAATTTTTAGGTTGTCCATTTCAGATCTTAATTTTCTTTTAATATAGGTATTTGAAGCTCCAAATTTCTCTCTGAGCATTATTTCCACTAGATTCCATTAGCTTTGGAATATCATGCTTTTGTTTTCTTTTTTATTCAAGTAAAAGTATTTAACAATTTTACTTGCAATATTTTCCTTTACTCATTGGTTGTTTAAAAGATTTCTGCTTAATTATCACATTGTAATTTTTCTTTTCTATTTGATTTAAAACAAATGCATAAAATCATAATTAAAACATATTAGTAGACACACAATGTATATAATTTGTGACAATAACAACATAAAAGGTGGTGATATGGTTGGGCTGTGTCCCTACACAAATCTCATCTTGACTTTCCAGGTGTTGTAGGAGGGACTTGGTGGGAGGTAATTGAATCATGGGGGCAGGGCTTTCCCATGCTGTTCTGGTGATAGTGAGTAAGTCTCAGGACAGCTTGATGGTATTATAAGGGGAAGTTTTCCTGCACAAGCTCACTTTTTGCCTGCTGCCATCCATGTAAGATGTGACTTGCTCCTCCTTGCCTTCCACCATGATTGTGAGGCCTCCCCAGCTATGTGGAACTGTGAGTCTATTAAACCTTCCTCTTGTATAAATTAACCAGTCTCAGGTATATCTTTATTAGCAGCATGAAAACAAACTAATACAGGGAATAAATCTGTAAAGGAGAAGAGCTTTTGTATACTATTGAACCTATTTAGTATTAATTCAAACTTGATTATTGTAATAGTAAAATGTTAGTTACCACAGGATTAAAAAGCCAATATGCAATAATATTTGCTACCTTTTAAATTTATCTTTGTATTTACCATTATTGTTTTTATATTTCTTCATTTGGATTGAAGTTATTGTTGAGTGTCCCTTCATTTCTATCTGAAGAACTATCTTTAATATGTTAAATCAAACTAAATATGACCTGAGAAGGAATCTGTAATTCCATATTTGAGTTCTTGTGGACAAACTGCAACCTAACTTAATAGGTAGACAAGATTGAAAACATAATTCAGGAGTATGCACCTGTAACAACAGCTGAGTCTGGCCAATCACAACAGCCATACTTCAACCACTCATACACTACTGAGTGTTCACACTGTGTCCAAATACAGCAAACACCAACCTGTAACCAATTCAGCTGTTTTTGTACCTCACTTCTGATTTCTATATGTCACTTTCCCTTTTTTGTCTATAAATTTGTTCTGTCCATGAGGCATCCCTAGAGTCCCTCTGAATCTGCTATTATTCTGGAAGCTGCCTGAATTATTATTTTTTGGCTCAGTTAAACTCCATTAAATTGAATTTGTCTCGAGTTTTATTTTAACAAGTATTTTGTGGAAAGCAGGTCTATTCATGATGAAATTTCTCATTTATTCTTTATCTGGGAATGTCTTAATTTCTCCTTCATTTTTGAATTTTAGTTTTGCCAGATATAAGAATTCTCAGTTCATAGTTTTTTTTCTTTCAGCATTTATACATTATTCCACTTATTTTTGGCCTTAATATTTTCATTGAGAAATTAGCCATTAATCATTTGAGGATCCATTGTACATTAAGAGTCAATTCTCTCCTGGCATTTCAAGATTCTCTGTCTTTGGCTTTTGACAATTTTTGACTATAATGTTTCTTGAAGTGGGTATCTTTGGGTTTATACTGCTAGGAGTTTGCTGAGTTTCTTGGATGCATAGCTTCCTGTCTTTCATTAAATTTTGGAATTTTTTGAGCACTACTTTTCAAATATTTTTAACCTTTTGTTTTTCTTCTCTCTTTCTAGGACTTTCATTATACATATACCATTATGCTTGATAGTTTTCCACAGCCCTCTAAACCTCCATATATTATTCTTTTTTGTTGTTATGTTTGCTGTTGTTTTTAACCTTTGTCCTCAGACTAGATGATCTCAAATAACTTACCATCAAGTTTGCTCATTCTTTCTTGTTTTCACATCTTTTGTTAAACCTCTCTAGTGAATGTTTTAATTTTAGTTGGACTTTCTAGCTTCAGAATTTTTGGTTCATTTTTATAATTTCTGTTTGTTTAATTGATATTTTCTATTTAATAAGCCATTGATTTTCTAGTTTCATCGAGTCCTTTCTTTATAGTTCTGTTAGCTCTTTGAAGGTATTTAGGACAGTTGATTTAGTGTTGTTTTAGTCTATTCAGGCTGCTGTAATAAAATATCATAAACTGGGTGGCTTATAAACAACAGAAATTTATATCTTACAGCTCTAGAGGCTAGGAGGTCCAAGACGAAGGTGCTGGCAGATTCAGTGTCTGGCTCTACTTCCTGCTTCATGGAATAGAACCTACTATGTCCTCACATGGTGAAAGAGACAAGGCATTTTGCTGGGGCCTCTTTTATGAGCCCACCAATCCCATTCCTAAAGCCTCCATCCCCATGACTGAATCACCTTCAATTACTTTACCTGTTAATACCATCACACTGGGGATTAGATTTAGACTTGTGAATTTTGGGAGGACACAAATATTCACACCATAGGAGGTGTCTTTATCTAATAAATCTAATGTCTGCACTTCCCTGACTGTTTTTATTAGTTTCTTTTATTCCCTGTGAATGTGCCATACTGCGTTGGCTTTTTTTTGGGAATATTATAATGTGAACTTTATACAATACTGAATGTTCACGCTGTGTTCTGTGGACTTTTTGAATATTATAATATGAAGACTCTGAAAATCAGATTATTCATCCCCAAGAAGTATATTTTTGCTGCTTGTTGTGGGTGGTGGTTGTTTTTTCTTGTTTGTTTAGAGTCCTACTAAGCTATTTTGCAAAGTCTGTATTTTGTCAATGCGGCCATGGAAGTCTGTTCTTTAGCTTAGCGCCACCTATTGTTTCGATAGTTTCCTTTTTTTTCCAGAAAAGAAAACAAAGCAAAACAAAAATACAGTACTCTCTTAATCTTTGCATATTGGATCTGTGTCTGAGCATATCTTTACTGCTTATCAGGCCATTTACAAATCTGCCTTAACCTTTACTTATAGCTTGCTTAGAGATTGAAGGTTCACAGAGGTGAACATTTAAGATCTTCTCAGGTCTTTTATGAGCATGTGCCTAGCCTTGGGCATGCATGTTGCCTTCTGTTATTTCCTAATATACCTGGGAGCTTTATAAGTCCCTTATTTCTAATGATTCTCCTTCTCTAACCTCTTTTCAAAATTTTTGGTCTGTCTATTATTTGTCCAGTTCTGTTTCTCCCTGTCCCCAGGCTACTACAGTCAATAATTTATTTAGCATTTGAATGTTTTCAGCAAAAAGTCCCCAGAAAGACACGCCAGCCCTGTGAATGTTTCAAATTAGGTGAAACAAAGGCAATCACTTGTGTCCTTCCTGAAGGGAGCCTCCAGAAAACAGGCAGAAGCACACAGCCACAATTCTTTGAGAAGATGGTCTGTCTTGCTAACTCTGATACTCAAAAACTGCACCAAGAGTATAGGCTGCTGTCTTCATAGCTTCTGCCCATCTGAGAAGAGTGAAATAGTAGGCAGTCATTTTTAAGAGCAACAGAACTCTTACTACAATGCAAAAGCTTCTTTCTTCATTAAGTTTGGTATTGTCTGTGTAATTTTCTGACTGGATTCCAGAGTCTGCAGAAGCAAATTCAGAGATTTTCCTCACTTATTAGTTGCAAAAGTGCAGAGATAGAGCCCTAGAGTTCCCTATTCTGCCATTTTTAGTAATATCAATCCACTGTTCACTTTTATATTGTTTTTTAATATATTATTTCACTTATTTCTGCATAGTACAGTGAGTGCTCAGATCCTCAGAAGACGCTACTACTGTTGTTTTACCATATTATCATAATAACACATTTTTCCAATTATAATTCATGCATTCACTGCTACTTTCCACTCTGGGAAGTGAAATAGAAGATAATTTCAATGGAAAATCATATTTTTGCCTCAGCTGGCAAGAAATAATGGTAATAGGCATCATATAAGCAGAATCCATAAATCAAAATAAGATAAAATGAAACTAAAATTATTACAGTGACTTCATCAGCAAAACATAATTCAAAAATTACATTATATGGTGCAATTAGCCTATATGGATTCAGGCATTCCCTGTATGTGGTTCTTGAATATTTTTGTCAACTGACATTACATTTCCCTGAGGAAACTTCATGTTAGAAAATGTATTAAGAATTAGTGCCAGTATTTTTCTGTGGAGTGTTACCTTTCTGTGTGCAGAAATTACGTGACTTACAAAACCTATTTCATTTCCAATATTGGTACCTCTAATAAAATAAGGAAATAGAAGAAAATTGACATAAAGGAGGCTTATTTAACATTTATTTATTTGCCTTTCCAATAATCCTTATTGTTAATTGCTTTTACAATATTAGTTCTTATATGAATGCGAAATATTTATGAAATTAGAGAATATTAACTTTTTAAAATTCAATATGTTGTAAAATCTAAAGGTATGCAATAACTGCCATAATTATAGATCAAAATCAAAGTTTATTTTATTACTCTTGTTTTTCTAAAAAGAGGATGCATATTACCAGTGTTACCAGCGAACAATATTTTTCAGTACGTTAAATCTCTACTGATGGTAGAATACTCATCTAAAGTTAAAATGTATCATTGTCTTGGCAACTACAATTAGAAATTAATGCATACATTCTTACTAGTTCAACATATATGAAAATAGAGTAGCTATTCATAGCAAATTTTACCAAAAATTTTGTTGCTAAAATGATAACATGTCTTTCACCACATAATATGTTATATAGTATTAATCTCATGATATTTCACTCTTTCCAAATAAAGGAAAATATATAAAGATAATTGAACAGTGGACTAGTTAACTTTTCTCTTGGCTGGCTCAAAAAAATCAGCTCATATTCTTGATTATCAAAATATAAAGACATACTAATTTGACGGATTTAAACCTTCTCTAACTTTCTTTGAGATGATATACTTCCTTCTTTCCATAGAAGTTAAGTTTCAAATATTTCAACACTGCTAAGGAATAATCAGGGTCTATTTCATCCCTTCTGTTCTTCCCTGTTTTAATCTGTTTTCAACTTTTTCCTCTTTCCATTTTTCTCTTTCTCATTGATTTTTAAAATAAAGTTGATGCCGTGCGCGTTGGCTCATGCTTGTAATCCTAACACTTTGGTAGGCCAAGGCAGGTGGATCACCTGAGGTCAGGAGTTCAAGACCAGCCTGGCCCACATGGCGAAACCCCGTCTTTACTAAAAATGCAAAAAATTAGCTGGGCATGGTGGCGGGCACCTGTAATCCCAGCTACTCAGGAGGCTGAGGCAGGAGAATCACTTGAACCTGGGGGGCAGAGGTTGCAGTGAGCTGAGATTGTACCACTTCACTCAAGCCTGGGCAAAAGAGCAAAACTCCATCTAAAAAAAAAAAAATGAAAAAGAAAAAGAAAATAAATTTGTTTATAAGGACAGAATTTTGAGAACTTCTCCCCCCAAAATATCTCCATCCTATAAGACTGATAGCCACTCATGATATTTTAGTACCCTATTTAATAAGAATTTACTTTCTGACAGGATTATTTTCACATGCTTGCTAAAATCTATAGCTAATTACAAACTGTGTTGAGGTTTATTTATTTCAATAATATTCGTGTATTTATGCTCAAGCTTCATTCAGGACTTTTGTCACACAAGAAGTTTGTTTAAAAAATAGCTCAACCATTTGCAAATTGAGGGGAATTCCAAAATAGAAGGAAAAGAGGAAAACAGTAATAACTACAGAATAAAAGAAAAGATCTCAACTTGAATAGAGAGAAGAGAAAAATATAACCCAAAGACGACTTGGGAATAGTAAGTCTTGGTTTGTATATTACAATGAGTTGATTCGCTACTGGCTCACAAAAAGTCCATTCTGATCAGTCTACTTTTAGCAAGCTGACTAGTGACATCAAGTAAAGGAATTCTAGTTGTTGTAAATTCTCCCAAGCCCTTGAACTTTTAGATGTGCAACAGCCAAAGTTTTCTAAATATTGCCTAGTTTCTTCCATTAATGGTTCCTCCTTACTTAGGAATGTTATGCACCCTCTTCTATTTAAGACTATCTTCAGATAAAGTTTTTATACTACTTAATATCGTTCAGCAAATGATCACTATTTTTCCCATTCCCCTATGGGTGAAGTATACTTCTATATCCCATTATGACAAAAAAAAAAAAACCTCACAGTTTCTTAGAAAGCGTGATATATTAATAAACAATATTCTCTCTGATACCCAAGGTTTATTTCTTTTCATGAAGAGGAAGAAAAGGAAGAGATTAAAATCAGGAATTTGCAGTCAGTATCTTAAGTTAGGGCTCCTAGAAAAGAGCCTGATTTAGGGACTCGGGTGCATGTGATTTGTTGAAGGAATGCTCCCACGAAAAAGTGGTCGAGGAAAACAGGATAAAGAAAGAAAGGACAATCAGCGAAAATGGGATTCCAGCTAGAATCTGGCTTCAGGTTTATCGTGCAGGGTGCTCTGAAGCATGAATTGTACCATAGAATTAATTTCACATTAAAGCAAGGAGTTCACTACATTTATACGCTTATGCCATTCAGTCTTTGGTTGAAGGATTCCAACCCCATCACCACCACTCAGAATTATGTAAAGTAGCTCCTCATTTGGTACAGTGGAATACTGTTGATTTTTTAAACAATGCCATAACTTCTGTTTTTTTAATTGTTTATTTGTATTGAGGTATCCTTGACAAATAAAAACACATGTATTTACAGAGTACAACATGATACCCTTATATATAAATGCATTGTGCAATAGTTAAATCAAGCTAATTAACATATCCTTCATCAGACATATGCATCATTTCTGTGTTGAGAAAAGTTATGATCTTCTGTCAGCAATTTTCAAGTATACAATACATTATTACTAACTGTAGACACTGCGCTCTATAATAGATCTCCAGCCGTTGTCTAATGGAAACTTTATGTGCTTTGACGTACATCTTCCCATCTCCCTTGACCCCCCAGACTCTAGCAAACCCCATTCTACTTTTTGTTTCTATGACTTCCAATTTTCTAGATTTCACACGAGTGAGTTGTTATAGGAAATGTCTTTTATGTGTCTGGCTTATTTCATTTGTCATAATATCCTGTAGATCCATCCATGTTATTGCCAATGACAGGATTTTCCCCCTTCTTAAGGCTGAATAGTATTCCATTTTTAGCAAAAGGATTTATCTTGAAAAGATACCTCAAAATATTGAAATGTATAATTTTCTGTTACATAAACACTTTTGATCAGGAGAGAGTAAAAAAAAAACCCTTGGGAAAAAAAAATAATGTGAGTTAAAAGTATCAGAGCGGTAAGCTAACTCTGAAGGCATTTTTGCCATTGGAGAATTTTGCTAGTATCAAGAAATAGTAAACTGGTATATTAAGGACCAAAAATAACAGCTGATGTTGCCTTGGATGAATTTGAAAACAATACAATATTCAAAGTGGGGGCTTTCAAATGTCAAATCCCTAGTGAAATAATGGAATTATTTTTAAAATAAAAATCACAGAGGAACAGGACAAAGAAGCCTGTCTGCCTTCATGTGGGTTCTAGGCAGAAAACAAAGTCTTCCCTGGAAATATGTAACTGAGACTTACTTCTGTACTATTTTATAATTTAAATTTGCATAATCTAGTAAATTACAAACTGAAAATGTAATAATTTTTCCAAGATTGGTAGTGCCCCAGAAAATCTAATAGAAATATATATAAAACACCTCTAGAGGTTCCCAAAAAGATTCCCACAGATAAAACCCATGTCTGTCACATGCTCAAAATCCAATATTACAGGTTTTATTGTGTCTGCTTCCAAGCATGATGAAATAAAGTACCAGATGACAAACCCTGCAAATTAAACAATAAAACCTGCATGGGATACAAAAACAAACAAAAATGCCCTGACTCTCTGAAAGAGCTGAAGAGTGAAGAGAAGCAAACTGACCCTGGTAGGAAGTATGTGCTTGCTTGGAGGAGAGGAGGTGAGGAGCCATTACAGTATGTTTCTCTTTGCTGGGGGCTTTACAGCTACAGAGGAAGCACTAGTGGAAAAGTCTGCCTTCTAGCCTGAAAACCAGAAAACTAAAGGGCAAAATAGTTTACATGTAGCACCGTTTTTTGTTTTTTGTTTTCTGTTTTTTTGTCTGTTTGTTTGTTTTTTTTCTTTTTTTTAGAAGGAGTTTCACTCCTGTCGCCCAGGCTGGAATGCAATGGCACTATCTTGGTTCACTGCAACCTCCATCTCCCAGGCTCAAGTGATTCTCCTGTCTCAGCCTCCCAAGTAGCTGGTACTACAAGCATGCCCCACCACCCCTGGCTAACTTTGTATTTTTAGTAGAGATGGGTTTCACCATATTGGTCATGCTGGTCTTGAACTCCTGACCTCAGATGATCCACCCACCTAGCCTTCTCGAAGTAATGGGATTACAGGCGTGAGCCACTGCACCCAACCAGCACCATTTCTTTATTAGGATGCGTGTTCTTTAACCCAGCCACCATGTTGTAAGTGTTGGGATTCAGAAAGCAAGACCGCCAAATATGCCATTTTGACATGCTAAACTGAAGAAGCCTCAAGGTCTCTCTGACCTCTCTCTTCATTTTCTCTTCCAAAGAAGCTGAAGTTCCTGTATCTGCCTACGATCCAGACCCACCAAGGAGGACGACAGTGTTTTTCTTTTCTTCCCCTCCACGTTATCTCATTATCTGTAGCAGAAAAGAAGACCAAGATGTGGCTACACCCGAGCAGACCTTTTTCCATGTATAAAGACTGTCTCAAAGGATCATTTAAATTTCACGAACTATTTACAAGTTAATAGTTTGATTGTTCCTGGACCCAATTATTCTCCCTATCAATCATTTAAAATCAATTTTAACATTGTGGTAGTAGAATTTTTTCCTTTAACTGATATTATATTAAAACATTCCACAATTGAACACGTATTAACTCTTAAGTATGTATAGCCTCCCGTGACCATTTGTGTATGAAATCCATTCAAACCATACAATATCACAATCTAAATCTTTTTACTTACAGTCATGTTATAATACTCTGGATTTAAGTCTTACTTTTTATGGTTTACATATCATACTCTGTAGAATAGCTAAGCATATTATTAGAAATGAGACTTTTGTGCAATTTTCACCCACATTCGATTTATAGACAAACTGATATTCTTTTCACACAGCAAAAGAATTCAGCCTGGCATCTTTAGGAAATGAAAAACTGGTTGCCAGAGGGAAGGAACCTAAATTTTTTCAATGTGGTTATTATATATATTGTAGGCCAGGCCTTTTTCCCAAGTAAGGAGAAGGGGAGACTCATATATATATATTTTTATTTTTAATAAAAATTTGACTTGGGAAATTTATGAATTTATTTTAGTGACTCAGTATTAACACAGTATTTTAATTTTGTTTTATTGCAGAACCGCATGCATTTTTTAGAAATAATAAAATGAAATATATAATACTTCTAATATTTTCATGGTCATGCAAGAAACTACACCTTTACAATATTAGCCGACGTCGGCAGTGCTTGAAATAAGATATTCTCATGTATCAAAATGAATGACTAACGAGGGACATAAATTGACTAAGAAAACAAGATAAACTGCCAATAAATGTTCAAGAAGGAAAGTTTACTAATGCACTTCTCTATGCCATTTGACTGCAAATGAAGTGATGGCTATCTTCATCACTGCTGATATAGTGGCCTTTACATTATTAGACTACATGACAGTATACTATAATTACTTTCCCTTTTCTCCTATCCCTTTACAAATGAAATAATTGCCTTAGGAAATAATTGCCTCCATATAACTGTATCTAGTATAGATCAATTTTCTCTTCATGCATTCAAAGATACATGGACAGACTTCTGTGTTATTCTTTTTCTGAATGCTGTTGTCCATTCCGTCTCGCAAACATCACAAAATCTCTTGAAATAAAATTAAAGGCATTCCTTTTTGACTCAGAGAAGTAAATCATTATTTTCAAAACAGCTCAGGTGACAAGTGTGTCAAGCTCTCAAGACCCGTTAAACATGTCATGTGGGAGATAACTTGAGATCATTCACATCAACTACATTTCTAGGCGACCTCTGATGACTCTAACAGCAAGTTTCCAGGTGTCTTCTTGGAAACTACTGTATGATTCTATGCATGTGACACAGTTGTTCTTTCCTACTTCACCCCCAAGAGGGAATGATTTGGATTCCTCATTACTTGTTCTGGCATATCTACCCGTGGGAGAAAATGTGAATATATTGAAAGTATATTATTTACACTTGTATTTGTGTATGTGTGTGTATATAATATTACATTTATATTCATACAGCAAAAATATATTACGTCAAGATATGTTTTGCAGGAATGAGAATTTTCAGTAAAAAATGCCAGAAAGGTTTACAAGTCAATTGAGATGAACTATGTCACCAGTCTAAGAACTTTTTTCAACTATTTGACTTAATTAAATAACTTTTCATTTCCAAGATAGTTTTCAATATTTGGTTTATTTTCATAGATTCATCCCCTCACTTACATTCTATTACATATCTTTTACTACTTTGGATCTGATCGATATGAAGCATTAATACCATTCTTAAAAACCTTTAACTAATAGTACTTCCCAGTACATGTCCTTTAGAAATCATTGCAATAAAAACTACATCATTCCTGAGTACTCCTCATGTAAAAAAAATTCAGTGTTAATTTCTGCAAGTTTCCTAAATATAAGTATATGAGTCTTGAGCATAATATTGTGACATGTGTATGCAAATATTCTATAATACAGTATTATGATCATCTGATTTGAAAAATGAATTTGCTTTGGAATTAAAAAAGCAATAATCTTTCAGACTTAAAAGTCCTTTCATGAAAAAAATTATAACATTATTGTTTTCATATCATGGGCAACATATTCAAAAGAAGGATTAGGAGAATTATATAGTTTTTAAATAAATATCATTCAATGTATGAGTTATTTGTACTTATTCTAGATATGACTTTTTTCAAGTTTATACTTTGAGGTTCCACATCTGCTCCAAACTCAGCAATGAGGGATACTATATAATAGTGTGATTTAAAAAATAAACATCGAAAATGAAAACTATGTAATCAAATAGTTTATATAGAAAATGCAGGGCAACTAGAACTTTCCTACACACCTGGTGGGATTGTAGACTGGTGCAGCTGCTGTGAAAACTTGAAGTTTTTTTAAGTTTAAATTTACTTAGAAATATTTGGATGTAACTCAAATTGCCTCCGTCAAGTCAGAGGCTGAATGTTTAATTAAAACAAACATTACATCTGATATCTAAGATTAGATTTATGAAAAGTCACAGAAGCAAAATTAATAAAAAATTGTAATCAGAAGACAAGGAACTGCAGCTGTATAAACAATATTCCACATATTGTGATGAGGCAGCCGTCATAAGCCTGGATCTGAACCATAGCAAGATGTCTGATAGAAGCAATCACAAAATCCTTAGAAAGGAGGAATGATATTGAATAATAGATAGAAATAAAGAAATCAGGCTTGCTAGGAAGTGTAGTTTTCTGTTAAAAAATTATTTCCCTCCAGGCACATTTTATGAACACAAATCAGACTATTGCTATGTTTATCATGACCCTTATGATAGCCAGACACTATGATAGTTACTTTATAAATATTAACTCATTCAATCCTTTAATAAATTCTATGATGTAGTTGTTATAAATATGAACCTAAGTGAGGTTGACTTCTCTTTCCTTGCATTGTTCTTTGTTAATTTATGTAAAATTGTTCTCTGCTAATTTGTGTAAAAATTGTTAATTGTTCTTTGCTAATTTATGTAAAATAATTCAAACACTGGAACAAGTAAAAACAATATGTATAAATGATAAGTATTTACCTTTTGATGCCCAGTACACAACGTGAGGAATATGATATGGTTGTTTGGGTTCCAAGTCTAGCAGTTTGCCGAACTAATGGGCAGGAAAATTTTCCAAATTATCATTTGCGTGTGTTGGCAGGTAAGAGGGCTTTTGTTTGGATTGAGAAAAGAAATAAATAAAATTTAAAAAAATATTGTTAGATGGTTAAGCTTTTGTCTGTTTGTGTGCCTGGGGTCATGTGTGTTTGTGCATGTGTGTGCATGTCTGTGTATACAGGAGTCTGGAAGGAAGGATAATGGAGATAAGGACAGTGAAGGAAAGGGTATTCTGCCAGTTTTATCTCTGAGGTGTCTTTTGAGCCTCATTACAGAGGCTTGAGATATGGCAGCTGGTTAAAAGGGTGAACTTACAAATGAGTATATTTCAAGCATTGTTGATCTGTGTGCTGATGGCAAGAGTTGAATACGGGGCCATTCCTTCCTTCTGTCCTGCTCTGTACACTGGGAGCCCAGGTGGTGTCCTGGGAAAGCTACAGCTCTTAGCAGATGGAGGTGAGGAACTAGAAACATCAGAGGACTGACTGTTTTTCATAGGGGACTGGAAGCTGTGAAAGTAAAACAGTTCATTCAGGTTGGAAGCAAATCTTCAATGAGAAGATTCAGGCTAAATGACATGACATCCCCAAGTTGCAAACAAAAATAAGTGGAGAAAGTTTACTAATAAAGACTCTCAGGTCCAGGCAGTGGCAAGAGCAACACGTGAACAATATTTGTTTATAAAGTTAATGCTACTTCTTATCTAGTAAACAGGAATAAGGGTCTATGGACATTTTGATTATAGTTTTAAGAATTTACACTTGCATTAAGAAATAGTAATGGTTATACTATCCTGTCTACTCAGTTATAGTATATGATGTCGTAAATTATTATTTCTAATACAAAGTTTTACAATTATTAGGTTGGCACAAAAGTAATTGTGGTTTTGCCATTACTTTTAATGTATTTGTTTCAAATTCTGGTTACATATCCCATTAAAAGTAATGTTAAAAACTGCCATTACTTTTGCACCATCCTAATAAATTTGAACTAGTAAGAAAGAATAATGTAATCATATTAAGTAATCAACACTAGTCTCCTAAATATCAGAATGTCCTTCCTTCTGCCCACGAAATGATTTTCTATTGTTTCTTGCATAGATTGCAAAAAGTGTGTTTTGTCTTAAATTTTTAGAAGAAGAATCTTTATGTAGTACAGCTAATACTTAAATTATGTTTTCAAATTCACACTGAATTTTAAAAGGATTTGCACATTGATGTCTTTATCAGAGTAGTTCCAGTAAAATTGAAGATTATTCTCTTTTTGGTAAAGCTGGTGATAACATTCATATAATTTATTATCATTCTGTAGAACTTATCAATTCATCACCTAATACAGTTTACCATAATTCAGCAATCAATTTTTACCACCTTAATTGTATATCAAAAAAGGAAAGCAATTGGCTGGCATATTAGGTAGACTATATTAAAACTCACTGTTACTTTCCTATTCTTTTTACAATGTTCATAAAAAGGCAAGTCAATAAATATGGATGAGATGGAGAATTTGTAGTATTTAGCAGTTTCAACAGATTTATATATTTGTATTCTCTTAGTTTAGATAAAATGTGTTCTCTATATACATTTAGGCTATAAATATATACGTATATTTATGCATGTGTATATGTGTGTGTATCCTCAATGTTTGCTTCTTTGCTTTTTTTGGGGTAAGTTTTCAATTTAAACTAAGATACACTGTAAAATAGAATGAATTTACCTGCAATTTTTCTCAGGAATACAATAGTAATAAAAGAATACCTTGAAGGGATTGACAATGCCATTGCATATTTTAAAAACTATCTTCCTTCATTCATCAAATGTTTATTGAAAACCACTATATGCAGTGTACTGTGAAAAGCACATACAGGCCACAAAGATAAATTAGTCTTTATCCTAAACCTGAAATACTTCAGTTTAATAAGCAGCATCAGACACAAAATCACCGCAATAAAATGTAATATGCAAAATGCTATGAAAACACAAAGGGAAGAGTAATTCATTATGCTATGAGCGAAGAGAAAGGAGTTTACGGGAGAGCAACAATGAGGTGGAACTTAAAGACGAACAGGAGGTCATTGGAAGCAAATGGCAAAAGCCATGTCTGGTACACGGAACTGCAGGTGAAAGACACAGGAATTGGGAGGTGATTCATGGTTTGGGAATACCGATTCACCTAGCGCTCATGTGTGTGGGATAAATGGAGGGAGTTAAGTTGGCCAAATAAAACTTGCTCAGAGATCATCAAAGATCTTGCATGCTAGGCTATTATCTTCATAAATTTTACCTTTCAAAACACATTTTTTCATGTTGGTGTCTCCTATCCTCATTGGATTTTTTTTTCCTCTTAAACCTGTTAACTTTCAAGACCCCTCAAACCTTATAAACTACTTGAAAATTGATCCTCTCAAACAGATAAAATAATTTGCTCCATTATATCAGTTCTGTCCCACCTAATTGATATTTTATGTTTCTCATAACATAGTAGCTTGTTTTTATAATCCCTGTAAGATGTACTGTCATTATTCTAAACCGCTATATAGATTGAGGGAAAATAACCAGTGCATTGAACATAATAGGCACTCAATACATATCTGAAAGGTAAAGTGATTCTCACTAATTCAGATGTCTCAGTTGTCCAAGCAATTTTGCAGAGGAGCACAAATTAAAATGCCTAAATCGTGATACTCATTCTCAGTATCTTTAAATCCAGACTTGTCTATTTCAGCTTTTTATCTGTTGCTTTTCCCTCCGTTTGTTTCATAGCTTGGCTATGGCCAGCTGCTGTTCAAAGGCATATGGATTAACGAAGCTTAACCTACCAAGCCCCTCACTTTTATAAGGGTTCTTTTCTAGGCCTAGAGAATCGCTATAACAATATACTCTCATGGTCATATATTTTTTGTGAAATTTGCAAAAGTAAGATAATAATGGCAATTGTTTAAGACATATTCTTCAAACTCTAATTTTCCATGTTTTACACTTTCTATAACTCTATATGGTATGAGAGAGACTATGGCTGATGTGAGCTGGCTGTTCATTTAGTTTGAATTTCGTGTTGCATATTTATGTGATTCATAGTCTCTTATATTTCAGCTAGATTATAGCTAAACATGCAAGAATAAGAATAACTTTCAGGAATATTCCTAGTAACCGTCCAACCGCTTTGATGTCGCGAAGAGAAGGTGCAGGATGGGAGATGAGACAAAACTGTGAACAGGTCCTATGGTGCCCAGCACCAGACGTATGCACTTAGTGGGTCCTGTCAGTATGCATCGAACGGGTACTGTCAGTTATGTAAAGGTATTTAAGACCAATCACGTTGTAAGAAAACTTGAAAAACATTAAACCTTCATATATATTTAAAACTTTATCTAACAAGTGATTCTTTAATTGAACAAAAATGCCAAACATTTACAAATTACTGGATGACCTTTTGAGACATTTGTTTGTTCTTTATTATGATAATGAAGAATATCCTTTTCAAATACCAACCGCTCACCAGCATTTCCATAGCTGTAATGCCCACTTCCATTAATCACAAAATGCCTGTAACAATCACATTTAAGAACATGTGATTATAATGTATTCTACTTTGAGCCTCAGCTATATTAGAGAAAATTAAGATAAATGGAGTGTGCCCGGGAATAGAAAATTTTGAAAAAAAAGTGTTCTATTTCATTAATCTTTTAAAAATTTTGAATCTCCCTGTTCACTAACCTAAAAAAAAAACTCTAGTCTTTTCAAGTACAACTCACACAAAACCCTAATAAAGTTACTATAATCAACTAGTACCCTTAGTTAATAGAGTGCTCATTAATACCCAACTTCCTACACTTCCCTATCTTGAGTCTATTTTCTCTCTACTGGAAAATATTTAGTCCCCTTGAGAGGCAGTATCTTCCCTGTTATCATTTGAGATTTTATTTTATTAAATTATTTGTTCATTAATTTTAATAGGATTGATTATAAATATATGAAATGATTGTGAAAGGGACTGGCACAATCAGAAAAAAAATCTACAAGCATAAATAAAGTGAGATTTTTACAAGTAAGCTGAAACATTAAAATAAAAATTCAACAGGAAGTACCGTCAAAGTGGAAAGAAATTCATTTGAAAACATGCAAAAAAATAGTTTAAACAACATGGATTTTTTTTTATTTCACAGAATTGTAAAAGAAAATTTTAACAATGGATGTGAACAAATATTTCTATTAAGGAAATCCAGAATAAAATAACTGGATTATGAAATTGGAAAAAAAATAGTAAATATGAAGCTGGTAAGACATTTTATCAGGCCAATATTATGGAGGTTCCTGAGTACCATACTAAAGTGTTTATCTGGCATTTCACTTTTGGAATAGTCATGCATCACTTAAAAATGAATATATGTTCTGAGAAATGCATCCTTAAGCAATTTCATCACTGTACAACAACATGAGTGCACTTACACAAATATAGATGGTATAGCTTACTACACACCTAGGCTATATGGTATAACCGATTGCTCTTAGGTTCCAAACCTATTCAGCATGGTACTGTACTAAATACTGCAGGGAATTATAACACAATGATAAGTATTCATGCATAGAAACATCTAAATGCAGAGAAGGTACAGTAAAAATACAGCATAAAAGGTAAAAAATTGTACTTGACATAAATGGAGCTTGCAGGACTAGAGGTTGCTCTGAGTGGGTAAGTGAGTGAGTGGTGGGTGAATGTGAAGCCCTAGTACATTACTATAAAAGACTGAAGATTTTATAAATACTCTACCCTTAGGCTAAATTTATTAAAAACATTTTTCTTTATTTAATAATAAATTAACCTTAGCTGGTTTTAACTTTTTATTTTATAAACTTTTTTAAAACTTTTTAACTCTTTTGTAATAAAACAGCTTGAAACAAAAACACATTGTGTAGCTGTGCAAAATTATTTTTGATGTCCTTATTCAATAAGCTTTTTAAAAATTTTAAATGTATTTCAATTTATTTATTACTTTTTATATTTTTGTTAAAAACTAAGACACATACACATTAGCCTAGGCCTGCACAGGGTCAGGATCATCAATATCACTGTCTTCCACCTCCACATCTTGTCCCACTGGAAGCTCTTCAGGGGCAATAACGCTCATGGAGCTGTCATCTCCTATAATAATGGTGACTTCTGGAACATTTCTTGAAGGAACTGCCTGAGGCTGTTTTGCAGTTATTTTTTTTTAAGTACAAAGAGTACATTCTAAAATAATAATAAAAATCATAGTATAGTAAATACACAAACCAGTAACATAGTTGTTTATCATCATTATCAAGTACTATTATACTGTACACAATTGTATGTACGACAAATTTTTACTACTGGCAGTACAATAGGTTTGCTTACACCAGCATCACCACAAACCTGTGAGTAATGGGTTGAGCTATGACATTGCAATAGCTAAAATGCCACTAGGTGATAGCATTTTTTCAGCTCCATTATAATCTTACAGGACCATAATCATATATGTGGTCCATTGTTGACCGAAATATTGTTATGTGGCATATGACTATATATGTGTGTGCATACATGTATATGTAGGTTTACACTTACATGCAAACATATGTAATACATATACATACATATGTATGCAATAGTACATATAATTATATTTTTATTGTTGATTGTTGTCAGTCTATCAGGATTACATTTTCCTACCTCTTACTTTTCATTGTTACAAACCTAAGATAACAATTGTAGAGCTTTCTTATACTTCATTTTTGTCCTCTAACTGAATTGCAATTTTTTCCTTACTATTTTTTCTTAATTATGATTCATGAAAATTTGGATTTACTAATTGTTCTTGTTTGCACACAGGAATGATGCTTCTGAACCATTAAATGTGAAAGCTTCTTACTACACCCATCAGTAGTTTAAATAATACTTTTCTTCTGCAGGATGATTGTTTTAATATCTGGAAAACTTGGAGCTCTTTAATGAGATTTTAAATGTTACAGTACTGAATTACTTTTCATTGTGAAGGCATATCAGACTATCTCTTTCTCTTTTTAAATTTTAAATGCAGCCTTATTCCACTTGGTTTTCCAACTTACTGACCATCCAGTTTCAAACTCATGATACTTGAAGTTAATTGTATAGTTATTTTGAAATGAGATCACAGGTTTTATTCTACATTTGAATGATTGCTCAGAAAAATAAAATGGTTCACAGAAGAGAAATGTGATTAACTTGTATGTATGGTACACATGCATGCATATTAATATCTTGAATTAATACAGTGGTAAAATTAAAGTTGAATTATTTCCTAATACTATAGCTCCCTAAGATATGGATCCTTAATTAAAGAGACAAGTATATTTTTATTGTTACAGTTGATCTAATTTTATTTATTATTTGGTGAGAAGATAAACAAAATTAACTTTGAGTTTGATAAAATAATTAATTAATGATTGTTATCAATTCCAGTTTCTCCATGAAGTTACATGATGGACAGGAAAAGGGAATTAAAACTTAATATGCAATGAAACAAAACAAAACAAAAATTCTTAGGCTGGTATATGGAGGTTTGAGGTAACCCTTGAGAGACAAAAAAACAAATGAACAATTAACTGTGCACCCATTGCCCTAGGCTGCAATCAACTTACATAAAAAAATGCAATAGAGATACACTATAAAGGAATTATAATTCATATTCTAAATTCTTCCATTAAATAAAATATCTAATAACTTACCATTATCCTTACTTTATATTTAAAAAGGCAATATATTTCTTTCCCTCCTTCCTTCCTTCCTTTCTTCCTTCCTTCCTTCCTTTCTTCCTTCCTTCCTTCCTTGCTTCCTTCCTTTTGAGACAGAGTCTTGCTGTCACCCAGGCTGGACTGCAGTGGCATGATCTCGGCTCACTGCAACCTCCGCCTCCTGGCTTCAACCTATTCTCCTGCCTCAGCCTTCCCAGTAGATGGGACTACAGGCATGCACCACCAAGTTCGGCTAACTTTTTTGTATTTTTAGTAGAGATGGCGTTTCACCATGTTTGTCTGGGTGGTCTCGAACTCCTGACCTCAAATGATCCCCCCGCCAGGGTCTCCCAAAGTGCTGGGATTACTGGCATGAGCCACCGCTCCCTGCCAAAAAGGCAGTCTATTTCTGAAGTTACTATTATAATATTTTTATGTGCAAAAATTGTTATTCCAGTAGAGAAGTAGACTACACAATCCAAGAGCTAATGTAATTTTGTCATTTTTTTCTATGAAAAAAATAATTTCTTTCTTAGTAATTAAGACTTTATATCAAAAATTTAAATAGTAAACACAACATTTTAAAAAGCGTTGGCACTGAAAACATTTAATGTATATTCATTCTTCACTTCAGTTTATTAAAATGTTTAAGGTCTTCTAGGATAAGCAAATCACATATCAAAGCACAACAAAACTCTTCTTTTATCTGTAATACTTTTTAAAGTTTTTGTTGCATAGTCTAACTAGGCTGTATGGTCTAATTTAAAATTCATCCCTTAGCTATTATTTTTGATGGTTCCAAATTCTAAAATCTTACCAAATCTTTATTTTTATTTTTATTTTTAGACAGAGAGTCTGGTTGTGTTGCCCAGGTTGGAGTACAGTGACACCATCTAGGCTCACTGCAACGTCAGCCTCCCGGGTTCCAGAGATTATTGTATATCAGCCTCCCAAATAGCTGGGATTACAGGCACACCACCATGCCCAACTACTGTTTGTATTTGTAATAGGGACGGGTTTCACCTTGTTGGCCAGGCTGGTCTTGAACTTCTGACCTCAGGTGATCCGCCTGCCTCGGCCTCCCAAAGTGCTGGGATTACAGGCATGAGCTAAAGTCTTTCTAAATCTTAAACAACCCTTTAAGTTGGACTGTTTTCATTCCCTACCTTGTTGGTTAAATTTTGCTCAGAACCATCATATTAATATCTTTAAAGCAAAATCAAGATCATGCGCTTCAAAATCCAACCATAGAGTATTACTTTTCACTAGATAAAAGGAGCTCATAACACAATATACTTTTCTGTGGATTGTTCACTAATTTTTACTTAGGAAAACTGTATCTTGACATTTCTTACTATTTCTGATGAAATTTTACCCTTCTTGTCCTTACAGCATCTTGTGCCACTATTATTGTGCTTACTTTAATTCTAGTACTTAAAATCATAGAAACAAATGGCATTATACTATTTTCAATAATTATTTTGTTTTCTAAATTAATTTTACACTCTTAGACAAACATCATTTGTTCTCATTTATTTGTGAAATCTAAAAATCAAAACAGTTGAACTCATGGATGTAGAGAGTAGAAGAATGGTTAACACAGGCTTGGAAGGCTAGTGGGAAATGTGGGGAGGAGTTGGGTATAAAAAATAATAGAATGAATAAGACCCAACTATTTGATAGCACAATAGCATGACTATAGTTAATAATAATTTAATTGTACATTTTAAAATCACTTAAAGAGTGTAATTTGTTTGTAATCCAATGGGAAAATGCTTGAGGGGATGGATACCCCATTCTCCATGATGTGCTTATTTCACATAGCGTGACCATATCAAAATATATCATGTACCCCATAAATATATACACCTACTGTGGACCCACAAAAATTAAGAAATATAAAAGAAAGTATATTGTAATGTATTTTCAACAGCCATCATTCAACATTCATTTGGGAACTCAACAATAACAATTGACTAACTGAACAAATGTTAAGTTTTAAGAATTAAAAAAATAAAATAAAATATTGGCCCACTTCTTGAAAAGCTCACCTTGAGTTATGGCAGTCAGCCATTTAACCATATAATTATACCTCATTGTGATCCATGCTATAATAGAATACATAAAAATTGTTGTATTCACAATAAATCAGAAGTTATAAACTCTGGGAATTTTGGGCTTCACTTATTGAAAAAAAGCACAAAGAGTGGGACTAAAGAAAGGAAGTGACTTTTCAGACAGATAAAAGTGGAATAAGAAATTGAGGAACAATGACTAACATGAGCAACACATTGGGATAGAAAACTCCTCTCTACTAATATTTTCTTCAATAAACGAGAATTATAAATTATTAAGTTATAATTATAAATAAAACAAAGGGAGCCAAGCTTCATTCATAAAATTTCTTGGCACATCTAAAATTATTTTAAAAGTGCTGCTAGTTCAAATATTTAAAATACATTTCTATTTTGCTAGCAACTGAGTGGTCAGGTTCCCTGGGTTCAGTATCTTCTCCCCTGAAAATGTACTGAGGTCTGAAATGACAAATTTTAGTGCTCCTCACTCCCACTTTGATGCCATAAATTGACAATATAGCCTCTGTTCTCATATGCATTCAACAAGCTGGTACAATAACATCCTTACATTTCACTTTTTACTCTAGAGGTTTTATCCTAACAAGCAACACTTCCAACTTTATAGCTTTGAAAAGTCATGTTGACAACTTCTATCTTCTTTCTGCTGAGTGGCATTTTAATAATGAAAAGAGAGATATAGTAGGTATATAGATAGTGAATAAGAGAGAAGAGGATAGAAGAAATTGCATTCAACTGGAATATCACAAATGCCACATTACTATTTTAGCATTGAATATTCAAATAAATAGCTTTGTTTACCTTTGTTTTAAAACATTCGGGTAGGAAAGAATGAAAATTTTGTAAGTTAAAAAACAAACAAAAAACAGAACCAAACAATATAGCATCTTCCTCTCCAAGATACACAGAGAGCATTGCCTTCATCCATTTCACTGCTACCAATACATGCTCTGAGTCTGAAAAGCTAATTTTTCACTTCAAATATCAGTATTTCTAATTTCATTTTCAATATCTGTTTTATCCCTTTTTGGCTTCAGTTACAATAGGGGTTTGAGACAATTGGGTCACATATGGAGTGCAATAGTCCTTGAATTTAATTCTTCTTATGACTCATCTGAAGATTGACCATTCTCTGTCTTTCAACACTGCTGCTACCAAAAGCAGGACAAATATAGCTTTTGTTTTTAACTTTCATACGATGCTTAACGTTTCTGTAAATTTCATTATGAAAATAATAGTTATTGAAATAATGTCTTTTCACTAGAAATAGTTATTATTAAATGAAGCCAACGTTGGATTAAATTGGATTAAATTCATTTGTAGCAAATAACAGCCATGGAAATATAAATACTTTCCAGTGCTATATTTATATTTCCTAATGAATAAACTAAAATACATATGTATTATTTATAAGACAATGCTGAGAATATTTGTCAGTAACATTGTATTTATCAGTAAATCGTTTCCATGTAGTTAAATAGCCATAGCATTGAGTTAAATTCCTGTTAATAAAATATAAACTACAAAGTGAATAATTACTATGTACTAGCACGAAGCAAATGTTTATATATATGTGTATATATGTGTATATATATGTGTATATATGTGTATATATATGTGTATATATATATGTGTATATATATATATAAACTAAGATAGGTCAACATTGAGAAAATCCTATGAGTGGCGCAAGAAACGTGTGTGGACAAGAGAATCATATCAAAATTGGAGTGCATGAAAAGAGACGGCTGAACACACAATTCACACAATGTCCTTGATTACTTTACATAAGACAAGCTGTTATAGTATATTTTAAGTGTGATCCTATGCAATGTGCCAAATTCATACTTACTTAGCCTAAACAGATAATAGTATTCCCTAATTACACGCATTCAGAAAAGCATCTCATCTTTTTTTGTACCATTTCTTTATATAAAAGAATGTTAGGATTAATGACAAAGTAAGCACTAATGTAATAACCGAATATAATCAAGTCATGGATTATTATGTGTTTTGTCTAAATATGGTGTCCATGTAACTTTGGAAATATTTTTTAAAATTCTTAGTCTCAAATAAATAAATTTCTCCTTGAGATAGTACTGAATATTTTTACTATTCTAATTGAAACTCAGGAATACCCATGGTGATGCCAACTTACTTGAAAAATAAAAAATGATTATACATAGAATATGTTTTCCCTAAAATCTATAATATTTTCCAAGAAAAAGAAGAACAAGTTCTCGGTAACATTTCTGTTTTACAATATCATAGAAGTTGTATATAACCTGCCTAATTTTTTGTTTAAAAGACCCAGAAAATTTAAGGATAAAATCTACCAAAATTAGAGATTTTCAAAAGATTTTACAGTACTACAGATTGAATTTAAAAAATGGTGGTACAAATCATTAAATAAAGATATTTAAATTTCATGTATAAGAAGAATTGTTATTGTTAAGATATTAGTTCTTTCCAATTTGACCCATAGCATCAATACAATCCCAATAAAAATCCCAATGAGCTGTTTTGTGGGTATTGACAAACTGATACTAAAGTTTACATGAAAAGGCAAAAGACCCAGAATAGCCAGCACAAGAATGAAAAACAACAAAGTTGGCGGACTGAGAATACACAACTTTGACTTATTTACTATATCATATGTTGCAAAGATGTAGTAATCAAGACAGTGAGGTTTTGGTGAAAGAATAGACAGATCAATAGAACAGAATGGAAATCCCAGAAATAAATTCACATAAATATACTCAACTGATCTTTCATAAAGAAGCAAAGACAATACAATAGAGCAAAGATACTTCTTTTAATCAATGGTCCTCAGCAAGTAGAGATCCACATGTAAAAAAAATAAACAAATAAATAAAATAAATCCAGACACATACTCTAACACCCTTAACAAAAAAAAACTGAAAATGGATTGCACACCTAAATATAAAATGCAAAACTATAAAACTCTAGAAGGGAACACAGGAGAAAGTCGATAATGACTTTCAGATTTGTGATGACGTTTTAGATATGACACCATAGGCACAATCCATGAAAAATAATTGATGAGGGACTTCATTAAAATTAAAAACAAACTCTGCTCTGAGAAAGAAACCATCAAGATGATAAATAGACAAGTTGCAGAATAAGGGAAATATTTTAAATACATATCTGATAAATGTATTTATACATTTCCAAAATGTATAACATGCTCTGAAAATTCAGTAAGAAAAGAAACAATTTCATTAAAATAGGCCAAAGACCCACAGACATATATCATCAAAACAGACATACAGATGGCAAATAAACATAGAAAAACATGCTGTACATCATATGTCATCAGGGAAATGCAGATTTAAACAATGAGATTCCAATACCTATCTATTAGAATAGCCAAAATCCAGAACAGTGATGACATCAAATGCTGGCAAGGATGTGGAACAACGGTAGTTCTCATTTATTGCTGGTAGAATGGAAAATGGTAGAGCTACTTTTGAAGACAGTTTGGCTTCCTCTTATAGAACTAAACATGCCCTTACCACACATTCCAGCAATCATACTCCTTTATATTTACCCAAAGAGGTTAAAAACATACGTCCACTCAAAAGCTGCACATGGATGTTTATAGCAGCTTTGTTCATAACTGCCAAACTTGGAAGCAACCAAGATGCTCTTCAGTAGGTAAATAGATAAATAAGCTGTGATATATTTAGGCAATACAATGTTAGGCAATGCTAAAAAGAAATAAGCTATTAAGCCATGAAAAGACATGGGGAAAACTTAAATGGTTACTATTAAGTGAAAGAAGTCAATCTGAAAAAGTTACATATGATATGATTCCAACTACAGCTGACCTTTGAACAACATGGGTTTAAACTGCGTGGGTCCACTTAGACAAAGAATTCATTTTCAAGCAAACGCATATTGAAAATGCAGTATTCAAGTGATGCTTCAGTAGGCACAGATGTTGGTAAACAAGCTGCGTCCTGAAACCATTCCCCCATGCAAACCAAGAGACGACTGTATATGACATTCTGGACAAGGCAAGAACCATGGAGACAGTAAAACAGTGAGGGATTTGCAGAGAGGGAGGAATGAATAGGCGACGCATAGAGGATATTTTACCTTTGTGAAAATACTGTGTGGAATACCAAAATGGTGGAAACATGTCAATATACGTTTGTCTAATCTCATAGGACATACAAAACAAAGAGTGAACTCTGAGGTGAACTGTGGACTCTGAGTGGCAATGATATGCTAATGTAGATTCATCAGTTGTAACATGTTCCACTCTGGTTGGGGATATTGATAATTGCTGAGACTATGCATGTGTAGAGGTAAGAGTTTTATCAGACATCTCTGTACCTTCCAGTCAATTCTGCTGTAAACCTGAAACTGCTCTAAACAAGTCTTTAAAAAGATGTATTTATTTGATGCTAAAAGTATAATTAGTTTTTTATATATATATATAAAATTAATCCTATTTTGAGCCATTTAAAGAATAAAAGATAAGAGTGGAATGGCTTTTTCTAATATCTGCTAAGTTTTTTTTTTATGTTTCACTTGTAACAAGTATCTTAGAGCATTTTCCAACAAATAAAACCTTATCTTCCACAGGGACTTAGTAGCAATAACAAAATAACTGATCTTCAGTATGCTAGCCAGCTACACAGCTCTCTGCCTGCAAGGCGGCTTGGGTCACAATGAAAAATAGGCCTTAGTTAATTGGTTTCTCTGTAATAATAAATTAGTGTATTGATACCATTGTAAAATTTATATATCTAGAATGTTGATTGGAAAGAACTTCTTTCTAATCAAGTTTCAAAAGCAAGAATTTGTTTTAAAGACGAGAGAAAATGTTATAAAAATTGTTCTTAGTTGTTAGTGTTCCTGGTCACCCAAACTTTACAGCACACATTTCCTCTCTGGAAGCCATTTGATTATCTCGATCTTGTTTACAGTCTTGATTTGTGTGTGTGTTTGTGCTCCTTACATTTCACCTCAGAGCAGGGAAATTGACATGTACACTGTCTTCTGTTGGAACAAATTAATAGATGAGGATATAAATGACCCGGAGTAGACCGTTGTTAATATAATACTGTCATAGAGGCACATGGAGTTGCAGAATCTATCTTTCAAATTTCTACTGATGAAGGTTTTTGGTCGAGAAGACGAGTCAACACAGATAAACTGAGCAAGAAAGTATATTGGTGCAATAATTAATTTTGTCATGGCATTGTTTTGGTTATACAGTACTCAGAAAAAAATTGTTATATGATTATAGAATTACGGAAGCTTAGGCTTGAGCCTCCAAAGCCTAAATTTGGCACTGTTCTCAAAGGAAGAGGAGAGTTAGAAGAAACCTAACGGAGATAAAATCATGTTTGTATGCTTTCTCTTAGAATGTGAAGGTAAGGGACCACTGGTACCACCTCCAGTGGTCAGAGTCTAGTATAGAATAGTAACACAAGCACAAGGAAATGTCATATAAAGAATATGTTGAATTTGAAATGAAGTCAGAAAACTGCCACAGAGACATGGAGTGCACTAAATTTCAGTTTGTATCACTGTCTTTTCAGTTTGTATCACTGTCTTTTCAGTTTGTATCACTGTCTTTTTTTTTTCATGCAAGAATCAGAGGAACTAAGGTGAGGACTAAGAAGCTCATGGATGGTAAAAAAAAGAGAGACAGTGAGTATCTTTTGAGAAGTTCAGCTATGAGGAATTGAATGATATAAGGAAGATAGAAAGCGTGGAAAGGGAGATGTGTACACACATGTGTGTGAGTTTATATAGACATGAAACTCTTAGGAAAAAATGAGAGTTCCTAGACACAGGGAGGGGCACATCACACACTGGGGATTGTCGGGGGATGAGGGGCTAGGGAAGGGATAGCATTAGGAGAAATACCTAATATAGGTGATGGGTTGATGGGTGCATCAAACCACCATGGCATGTGTATACCTATGTAACAAAACTGCATATCCTGCATATGTACCCCAGAACTTAAAGTACAATTTAAAAAAAAAGAAGAAAGGAAATGCAATCAATTAAAGGAATACTAGAGTGGGCAAAGTCCAGAGAATGTTGAAAAGGAGAGAGTAATAAACAAAATGGGCATTTTAAAAATTGTATAAATTTAAGGGGTGCAAGTGCAATTTTGTTACACAGATATATTGCATAGTGGTGAGGTCTGGTACTTTTAAGGGAGAATAAATATTTATGTTAAGATAGGGCCAGGCCTAGAAGGATATGAGGCTGGGGAACCCAAACAGTACATGGGCCCAATTGATTGCCCATAAACAGAGCCCTCATTTTAATTTATTTTGGATCTCTTGGGAATAACTTTAAAGACAGAAATGCTAACTATTTTCTTACCATGAATATTAAAAAAACAACGATAGAGTGTCTTGAGAAAAATGGCTCAGAAAGATTGAGATGAGGGAATCATTTCGATAGCTAAATGTGCAGGAGAAAGAAGGCCTTGTAGACTTTCCCACTATAAGGTTCATTTCCCATTGCAAGATATGTGTGAGATTTGAGGAAAGTATAGTATAATAGTGGAGAATATGATCATTAGAATAGCCATGTGAAGAATACAGAACATGACCACAGTGTGCATGGCATACATAATCTCAGGGAAATAGAAGGCACTGTCACTTTGTGCTGTGGTCTGAACATTTGTGTCTACCCACAATTTACATGTGGAATTACCAAGGTGCTGGTATTAAGAGGTGGGGCCTTTGTGGAGTGATAATATTATCAGGATGAAGCTCTCATGAATAGGATTAGTGTCCTCCTGGCCAGGCATGGTGGCTCATGCTTGCAATCCCAGCACTTTGGGAGGCCTAGGTGGGCAGATCTCTTGAGGCTAGGAGTTCGAGATCAGCCTGGCCAACATGGTGAAACCCCGTCTCTACTAAAAATGCAAAAATTAGCTGGGCTTGATGATGCACATCTGTAATCCCAGCTATTCGGGAGGCTGAGGCAGGAGGATCATTTGAACCTGGGAGGTGGAGCTTGCAGTGAGCCGAGATCACACCACTGCACTCCAGTCTGGGCAACAGAGCGAGACTCTGTCTCAAAAACAACAACAACAACAACAACCAAACCCTGCCCTGCCCCTTTCATCACATGAGGACAAAGTTAGAATGCATCATTTCTCAACCAGAAATTGGGCCCCACCATACACCAAATCTGCCAGCACCTTGATCTTGGATTTCCAAGCCTCCAAAACTGTGAGAAATAAATTTCAATTGTTTGTAAGCCGCTCCATTTATGGTATCTTGTTATAGCAGTCTGAATGGACTAAGATACCTTATAAAGACCATGGCTCTGCCTCCAGATTTCGGCATTTGAAATGTGAGCCTGTGGTGCATTCCTGGAGGTCCCAGCTCCCCTCCTCATTGCCTCTGCTTATTTCTACCAAGTTAGCGTGTTGTGGTATTAAATGCTACATTTTTCTCTCAGCCTTCAGGGTGTTTCTCCAAGTAGTAAATTAGGAATATTTAAGTTATCTTCATGGTGATCCTTATCTATCAAAAAGGTTTTTAAAAATACATGATAAATTAAATGATTTATTACCTTTATTACCCAGAAATCAGTGTAAGGTTTAAAAGTCTTGACAAAAATAGTAACATTTTATCTTTTACAGTATTATAGAAACAACTGTGCATGTCTCTGAAATTTCAGTGATTTTACCTACCATGTAAAAGGAGACAAGCGAGATGAATATTTATATTTGTTCCAAATAAAGCTTTATCTTTGGGCTGTAATCAGTAAATTATAAATTTATACATAAATGAGAACTATAGAAAAACATTTGTAGTAGGAATTTAAGTTTTCAAAATTCCCATTTCTACAGTTGTAATCTCAACCTCCAGTTTCACATATTAAATTACAAAAACAGTTATTTCCTCACAAGACATTATATTCGGAAGAAACAAAATGACCCTGATAGTATCTCTTCTATTTCTCCATTATCAAACTAATCTAGACTATAGAAAGAGACTAGTTGTCTGCAAGATTATCAATGATGGAAAGTCTAACATCTTCCTTGAAATTCTTATTTAAATTTCACTAGCTTCCACCTAAATCATCTCTATTTACTATAATCTTGGTGAAGACAGAAAATAGTAGATCAACACCTTCAATGCAATTGAGGACCAGAAATTGCCCGTTCCTTGCCCCCGTTTGTCCTCACCTACCCTGCACATGCCATGAATGTTGCATCTAACTCTTTGGTATTCCTGACAACACTATGCCCTTTCACTCTTTGTCTTTCTAGAGAGTGTTTTCTCTTTCTTTCCACAAGTACAATGTTAGCTCAATATTAATGATCAAAACTAAAGGTCATCCCTGCAAAAACATTTCTGTCTTATCCTAAGAGTCTTCCCCTTGTTCTTGCTCGTGCAACAGAGTAACATGTCTTGGAGTTGTTTAAATGCCAATCTTCCCCATTAATTATGGATCATTTTATGACAGGAAGTCACTTTACCCAGAATTGAGCATGTATCCCTGCAGATTAGTGAGGACTTAATAAGTAATTTAATGCACACTTCCATTCTCCCTAAACAATGACTTTCCAGCTCTATCTAAATCTGTAACTATTTTTCCCTACTCACATAAATACTGCACACTTTTTTAAAAAAAGAGTATTCTGAACCTTTAATTGGAGTATAACAAGTTTAAATAAGGGAGAAAACTCAGTGAAATTTCAAATTTCGTATCTTTGTTAGTTTAATTAATCACTTAAACATTATTTGCAACAAGCGTTTTGCTAGGCTTTATGTGGCTAGTGGTGAATGAAACAAAATCCTCACTTTAAGAGTTTATCAAGTGGAGGAGGCAAACCAGAGAGAAGTAAAGAGTATTTTAAAAATGTGAAATACATTAAAAGGAACAAACAATAAATTAAAATAAAAAATATGGGGTGAGACATATTTAGATTTAGTGTTTGGAGAAGGTCTCACTGATAAGGTTGCTTTAACGCTGAATATTTCATCGTTCTGCACCAATTTCTTTACATTTTAAAAGCAATTACACACACACACACACAAACACACATTGGTATTATCTTTAAACTATTACATATTTGCTAATAGTCTCCTGAGGAATTATCCCTTACTGCCTTGTAGCCATGTTGATTTATTGCCTTCATTGAGAGATGATTTATTTTACTTCTTTTGATTCTTCTTCTGGAATCTAAAAAGTGATATTCAGTCACTTAAATAATGTTAAGTCGTTGTTTAAAAAATGAATGAAGATGGTATAAGAAGGAATCTGAGGCCAAGGATGTGATCAGCTTGGGAAAATATGCTGCGGCAGCTTCTTACAGTTGAATTGATTAAATTGTACACCCTCTGCATATGTCTTTTCTCCTCTGCTCTCTTACTAATACTGTTATTTTGTAATTTTGCTCCTTCCAAGGCCACACTGATACTAAGAAGATGATGAGTGTTCTCAGGGCAGAACGATTCAGAATCAAGATCAGAGAACTTGGTGAAATTTAGATTAGACTTGAAATGAGGACAATGAGAGAAATAAAAAGGCTTCGTAAACTAGAAAAGTTTGGTGAGGAGCGACTACAGTTCTCAAAATGCAAGATGAAAGAAGCTCCTATCAAGAGAACCAGGGAACAGAGATGAGATTCTCCATTTAACATTTTCTATTTTGATTCTTAGATATGAACAATTTACATTTGACAAGTCTGGTTGTCAAGCCTTGTCAATTTTCAAGCTTGACTTAAGGCTCCTAAAAATGTGTGTGTGTGTGTGTGTGTGTGTGTGTGTGTGAGTGTGTGTGTGTGTGTGTGTTAAAGGCAGGACAACTTTCATCTCAATAAATGCATAAAAGGAAAGACTGGTGACACGAAGTGGAGATGAGTATAACCAGTTGAAAAATTACCCATGAGTCAGGGCAGCAGTGGACACATCCTACTTTTACTCTGTGATTCACTAGAAACCCCCTGAGGTTTTGGAATGGGGAGTAATGACAATCACCCTGTTGAGATGGCACTGCTTACTCTGTCCTGCAGAAGTCCTGAATCTCTTCTTCCCTGCTTGGAGAGAAAATCTTACACAAAACACACTCAAGCTACTTTTGTCCTGTGGACTTGTTTTTTGCAGCTTCTCTGCATAAGAATTCATGCAGAACTACTCACGAGTCTAACTGAAAAATAATTGTAGCATACTACCAAACTCCCATATTTTTATAACCTGGGAAACTGTTCACAGGAAAATGAATTAAATTCTGAATCAATGGCCTTCATATGGCACACTCTTAGAGTAGAATAACAGTATCTGTATTTCTTGGTTACAAGTGATGTTGGTGGCAGCCCATCTGGAGTAGCTGTTGCAGGGACACCAGCTGCAGTGATGGATGCATGGCTGGACCTGTGTGCTCTGTGGAGCCCATGGGGGCTGGGGACAGGTGAGAGCCCTGCCACCTACTGAGTTGGCTGAGGGGGAGCCCTGAGCTCCTCGGCACAGCTGCAGTTGCCCAGCTGGGATCCAGACCTGAGCATCCCTTCACTGTCAGGGGCCCAGGAAGCTCCTAACCCCTGCATACGTGAAAGTGCCTGCTCCCCCTTCCTGGCCTCTACCCTCTCCCAGCACCCGCTGTGGGTCAGAACAAAGTTATGGCTGAGCCTGGATGCTGCTGGAACCCAGCTGGGTGTGCATGCTCAGGGTGGTTCTGATACACCCACCGGCTGCTGCCTCAGACCCCTCTGGACTTTAGGAGCACATGAGCATGGGAGGGGAGCTGGGAGTGGTGAGTGTGGCTCAGCAGGGAACTGCAAGCGCCTCTTGGCATGGACAGCCTGGGTGCCATGTAAGCATGTTAAAGGTAGACAAGTTCCTAGGCAGGAATGAGAAGGTCTCCCCAGTGAAACCCCAGCTTCAGGCCAGAGACAGCCTGAAGCCTGGAGGCTGGGATGCTAGTTCTGGGCCAAGTCTGTAGCTCAGAGTCAGGACTTCATTGATGACCATTTGGCCAATCAGATGGTGCTTTCTTCAGGCCCTCCCATGGCTGCCCATGGACCAATCAGTACACACAATCTTCATTCTGAGCACATAAAAACCCCAGACTCAGCCAGACTAACACACAAATTGGGAAAGGAGCTACTTACTCCTCTGAATAAGTTTCCTCTGAGCTGAGAGGTGGACAGTCTTTTGGGATGACCATCCTGTGGAAAGTAGCCACCCACTTCAGGTCTCCTGAGAGCTATTCTGCTGCTCAATGCAGCTCCTCTCTGCCTTGCACATCTTCCAGTTGTCTGCATACCTTATTCTTCCTGGATATGAGGCAAGAACTTGGGACCCTCCAAATGGCAGAAATGAAAGAGCTGTAACACAAACAGGACTAAAACTTGTCCCCTGCTTGCCACCTTGTGGACTACAAGGAGAGAAGAGCTGCTACCCTCTGGGAGCCCAAACCTCAGGATGCCCTGACCCAGGACTGTGACACATTGTAACACCCTCTGGGGCTCTGCTTTTCCTAGTGTCTCTGAACTTTTGGGTTCCATCATGTTCCCCTTGTCCGGACATTGCTGCCCACAGTGGAAGCTGCTTGTGTTACATCTGGTCCAGCCACAGCCTCACACAGAGCCAGCACCTGCGCCAGTGCCTGGAGCTGCCCATGCCACCACAGCTGGCCTACAAGGGTGTGCACAGTGGCTGGATCCCACATTCACTCACTCACACACCCCTTGGCACTCTGTGCCTGGCTCACCCTTTGCAGACATGGGATCCAAGCAGTTAGCACAAGCTGAGCGCAGCCTGCCCAACCAAGTGGACAGAACAAGCTTAGCACATGCAAGTGAAACACAAGCATAGGTGCCACCAGCCACAGAGGTTTCTGCCTGGTGAAGCAACACCCTAAGGATCCTGTGACAAAAGGGCAACTTGTGAAGGTGGAAGTGATCTATTTCCCTGTAACATATTTCATCTCTAAACATGTTATTAATGCTCATTAAATAATTATCAATAAATGAAGAAATGATTTGAGAATGTCTCATAAGTTTCACTTGATGGAATTAAATTACCATATCTAGTCAGATATATAAATAAAGATTTTTCTATATACTTAGAAAGTTGTCCATCCAAAGAAGTCGATAAGACCAATTGTTACTGAGATCCTGGCATTTAATTCAAAATGGAATTCAGATAGGCCTGTCTTGGTTTATTCTTCCCAAAATATATCATCTTGCAATTATTTTTCCATATGTGTAAGTTAAGCTTTGTGAACCCTTACTTCCATAGCAATGTATCCCCTTTTATAGGAAATGTTGGTCTTTATGACTTTATTCATCTTATATATGACACAGGAAGAATATTAAATTATTTGTTGATACTGTCACAACAAATTCTGTATGAGATTCTAGAGGTAACGTCTATGGATTCTTTGGAGAAGGAAAATCTATAAAGTAATTCTAACAATGATGAAATAAAAGAAATATTTGGAAACCATATTCATTCTTCTTCCCTTTCCATATCCAGTGAAATTGACCCCATATTTGCATTCACTTTATAAAACTGTTGACATAAATATAAGTTACTGGGTGAGCCATTTTAAAATAATTTGTAACATAAGAAAAGAATGCACTTACCCAAAAGGATTGCTGATGAATTAAATATATAAAGATATACTTTGGAAAGTGTCATATCTTATACTTCTTGCCTAATCAACACAGGTAGCTTTTTTCTTATGTTATGCAGCTCCCAGCTAGTTTGCTGGTATAGTGAATATAAGGAAACAGGTTCAGCTATACCCTGCATGTTGTTTTTATTTATGAAGCATGAATATTTGTGAGGCACATCTCTCATTCATTCTACAACAAGTATTTATTGAGCACCTATAATATACCATGCATGAAAACAGCTCTAAGTTTCAACACAGAGAGGATTTCTTCTTCTGACAGAGCTTGCATCACACTAAATCTCTTACTCTATCTTTGCAGAATCTCTCCAACATAAGCATATCATTATTCTTACCCTATCCTCATTCAGCTCTTCATAAATGTCTGCTAAGTCATTTCAATATAAAATAAAGTAGCGAGGATTTTTAATTAGGCTCTGTATTTGGAGGGTGACTATCACAGTTTGAATTGTGTTTCCCACCAAATTTATATGTTAATGGTCTAATACCCACTACTTCCGAATGTGACTGTATTAGAAGACAGACACTTTAAAGAAGTAATTAAATTGGGATAAGGTCAATAGAGTTGTCCCTAAACCAATTTGACTGATATCCTTATACAAAGAGGAAATTTAGAAACAGGTAATGAGGGAAGACCATGTGAAAACACAGGGAGAAAACAGCCATCTTAAAAGCCAAGGAAAGCGAGCTCTGAAGAAACCAACTCTAATTTCCAAAGAAATTCAATCTAATTTCTAGCTTCCAGAAGGATAACAGAATGCATTTCTCTTAAGTCACTTGCCTGTGATACTTTATTAAGACAGCCTAAGAAAACTAAGACAGTAGACAAAAAAAAAAAAAAAAAAAGAAATCTATGTCTTAATCTCCAAAACTTGTGAGTGTGAGCTTACTTAGGAAAATAATTTTTGTTAATATAATTAAATTAAGAATCTCAAAAGGAAATCATTCTGGATAATCCACATGGACCCTAAATCCAACGTGTCCTTAAAAGGAGAAGAGACACACAGAGAGAAGGAGAAGGTTATGTGAAAGTGGAGGCAGAGTTGGAGTTATGCAGCTGCCAGATAAGGAATGATTGGCACCACCAAAGACCAGAAAAAGCAAGGAAGAATTCTCCTCTAAAGCCTTTAGAGCAGTGGTCCCCAAACTTTTAGTCACCAGGGACTGGTTTCCTGGAAGAAGTTGGGGGTGGAGGGCTTGGGGATGAAACTGTTCCACGTCAGATTATCAGGCATTAGCTTATCATAAGGAGTGTGCAACCTAGATCCCTCATATGCACAGTTCACAATAGGCTTCATGCTCCTATGAGAATCTAATGCACCTGCTGATTTGACAGGAGGTGGAGCTCAGGCGGTAATTCTCTCTTGCCCACTGCTTACCTCCTTCTGTGAGGCCCAGTACCTAATAGGCAACAGACCAATACCCAGCCACCTGTCCACGTCCCAGTGTTGGGGACCCCTGCTTTAGAGGGAGTTTGGCTCTAATGATGCCTTGATTTGGAACTCTGACCTCCAGAACTGTAAGATAATATTTTTCTCGTGTGTTAAGCCACCCAATGTGTGATAATTTGTTATTGCAGCCCTAAAATAAGAAACTCTGAATTCTTCATCTGAGGAAGGCCACTTCTGAATTTTAAAGCCTGAACACTCTACTACACTGAGCTGCCTTTACTTCACTGCACCATACCTACTGAAATTTCTAGAGAAAAGACCACAGGTGAATTGTTAAAATGTCAAATTGACTGTTGATTTTATATATGGCTTCAAGCTTGATCCACTCATGATTCCTCTTTTAAAAATAATTTGTGGACATTTTGTTTCCCAATCTACTCTGTTATTTATATTAAATCTTGGTACTGTCACCTTTCCTACTGCCCCAAACCTCTAATTTAGTCTAAACAAGAGATAAGTTTATTGTAAGTTAAATTAGATAAACAGTAACTTTTTAAAAATAACTATATCTGACTATGCAAATAGTCCCTTCTTCAGTATTTCCAATTCCCTCCACAACTTTGCCACATCAACTTAAATAGTATTTTGCACTGTGATATTGATTGTAATCTATTAAGAAAGAAAATAGATCCTAAATCTAGAGAAGACACCTAGAAGAAGTAAAGACATAAGATAAATGTAGGTGAGGAGAAACTCAAATGCAATTATTTGATCACTGCTCATGGTGCTCTGCAGAGAACTTGCACAGATGTACAGAAGGGAAAGCAATTCTACTGAAAATCCAGCTCATTCCCTGTATCATGCACACAAGAACTCTTGAGTCCAGACAGATGAAATTACTTGACTTTAGTTGTATATCTCTAAGTAGAAGAGAAGCTCCTGGTACCCATTCCTTTTCCAGGCAGCAAAGCAAGATCTCAAGAATTAGAGGCTACCTTGCACACAGAAGGGCTCTGATTGGACTGGTTGTAGGAATTTTAGTGGGATGGCTTCATGTGATTCAGAGAGGGTGGTCACCATCAGGACTCTGCTTACTGGAGAGCTCCTTAATGAATCTGCTTTAGGAAGAACTACTTTAGCCAAGATTTTCTCTTATTTAAATGAGTAACAGGTGGTAGAAAAAAACAAACAAAAATTATATATTAGAAGAACTGGGTGCTAATACTTTGCCACTAACTAGCTTTGCAACCAACTAGCTTTGCAAGCAATTAGCTTTGCAACCAACTAGCTTTGCAAACAAGGTCTGCTGACTTCATTTATCTGAGCATCAACTGACTTAATAATACCTACTTTGAAAGAGTTATGTAAATATTGGAGACATTCTAATAGTTGAAGAGAGTATGTAGACATATACAATAAATTATATCATTAAATTTTCTTTTGTAATCTAATTAAGGATTTTACTGGAGAATAAGCTGCTGTCACAGTCCCAAACTCATGAAGAAACCAAAAAGTATCAGGGCTGAACTTCCATTTTGCCACATCAAGTTTTTTAAGAGGTAAAACAAAGATGGTGATAAAAAGTTTCCCATCTCCCACTATTCTTACTATAAAAATGTCTGACATTTCATGAGATTTTCTTGTATAATAAAGGTACACACAATCAGAAGCATAATTCTGATTAACGGGCTACCAATCGCAATGCCAATGAATGGAAAGGTCCTTAAGAGTACACACAATCCAGGTTTCCCTTCTTACCTAGGAGGAGCCCTTTTATATTAAAACTTGATAAATGATATCTTGAGAAGATGACTACATTGAGGCAGAAGTAGGTCCTAGCCTGGAATAGGACCAGATTCCAGTTTCCTGGATATTAGTCAGGATGAAGAGAGGACAGAGCTGAGCAGAAGGTATGTCAGGTAGCAGGAAGTAGGTCCTAGCCTGGAATAGGACCAGATTCCAGATTCCTGGAATATTAGTCAGGATGAAGAGAGGACAGAGCTGAGCAGAAGGTATGTCAGGTAGCAGTCCAGTGATATATATGTATATGTCTCCAAACCATGGCTAAGTCTGTCAATCAGGAAATCATTTAAATGAGGCCAAAACAGCTTGTGGCCAAAACAACAGTAATAAAAACTTCAGGGACCAAAGAACTCTGGAACATGGGAGATGTAAATACAGAACAAAAGCACAGGTTTTCATTTATGTTTCTTGTTGTTTATATATATATATATACATATATATATATATATATAGAGAGAGAGAGAGAGAGAGAGAGAGAGAGACTTTGATTCCTCCATGATTTAGTGGACTAATGTGGCTCTCTGTGTATTATCTGTGGGCTCATTTTGAATACACATGCCAGGACATCGTCTAGAATGGGCAACTTGAGGGAAATAAATACATACAAAATTGACATGGTGTAAAACCAAACTTCACTTTAATCTTTCACTTTTGCTGCTGATGAAATAAGATTCAGAGAAATCAAAACACAGTGACCAGAACACAGTGATTCTGATATCAGGTTCGGTGTGTGTTGCATTAGCTGACAGTTGACTCATTACCACATTTATGTCACTGAAGCACCTAACTATTTAGGGAGAACATAATTCCTTCTAGTGATACAAGACATTATTAACAAGCATTGCTAAGAATCTTGGAGATTTAAATAAATGGACACATTTAAAATTTTAAAAATGTAAGACTATTATCTTTCGGTTTTCAGGTTTTTAGCATCCCTATGTTTATACTCCCTGTTTTTGTTTTTAGTCTGTTGCTAGATAGACATAAAAAGAAACCTTGTGGTCATCAGGTTAGAAAAAGGAAAGGTGCTGGTTTAAGACAATTTTTCTGTACTCCAAATAGGAAGTAAAAATATAGGGCCACTGAAAACCAAAAGATAATAGTCTTACACTCACTCAACCACTGTTGCAGCCACTGAAACAACTAAGACAACTTGAAATAATTTATGCTTAAAAGTAAATAATTTTGCTATTTTCTATAATTGCCTTTTTTATATCTAAAATACAAACTCCAAATGCTATCTATTTAAATAGAATTTATTTAAATATATACTCATCTTTTGTAAGAAAATTGGTAACATTATTTACATAATCAAATATGAAACTCAAAATATAATTTTATTAAATTTTTAACCTTTATATTACAATTTTTTTTTGGTTTTTGTACTGCTACTTAGAAACCATTTACTGAGAGTATCTAACAACAAAAAAATATATTTGAACAGTATTAAAACAATCAAAGCAGTAATAAGGTATGGAAAGATACTTCAATATAATTTCATTTGATGTACAATTTAAATCACTTGTGCACCAAACTTCAGTGACACGCAATTTACCCATGTAACAAATCTACACATGTAGCTCTTGAACCTGAAATAAAAGTTGAAGCAGAAAAAAAATTGTATTTATATTTACTCTAAAGTGGCAGTCATAAAAATTCAAATTATCACTTATTCTAGAATAGAAAACATAAATAAGTAAAACTGCCAGCAAACATAAATTTTTTAAAATAAATCTTTTGCCAGAAAGGAAATATTGAACTCTGGGAATTTAAATTTGTAAGTTGTCTTTAAAACTCATATATGGTATTTAAATAGAAATAAATTTTAAAAGCTGAACATTGTTTCTGCTGTAACTACTTTGAAATAATAATGATACAGTGTGTCAGCAGGCCAAAATTATAGAAAGAAAGAGTTGAAAATGATCATAGCATGAAGAAAATAATATTTTTATAGTCTAAGTTTGTAAACCTAGGAATAAATTCTAATAAAAAGTTCAAGAGAGGAAGGGAACAAAAAAGTCTCAATGGAAAAATAAAATCTGTGTTTTCTGTTGAAAATAAATTAAGAAGTCAAGGAATATCCAAGTCATGACTGCAAGAAACATAAATGAAAATCTGTGCTTTTGTTCTGTATGTACATCTTCCATGTTCCAGAGTTCTTTGGTCCCTGAAGTTTTTATTACTGTTGTTTTTGCCACAAGGTGTTTTGGCCTCATTTAAATGATTTCCTGATTGACAGACTTAGCCATGATTTGGAGAACACCACACAGCCCAGAGCATTAGGGGATTCAGTGAGCAGGTGTTAAACCTATTGCAGAATATATTTCTTTTTATCAACCTCTAATCTTCCCACTTCAGAATTTTTAAGCAGATGTTTTGGACAGGTTTTCTCTACTTTTCATGTTTCCATGGGGTTGTTTCTCACCTGCTTAATTGCTTCTTTGCCTAATAACGAAAAACAAAAGAACACAAAACACACCTTCTAACATCCCCTGTGAGAAGAAAGTTTCCTTTTTGATTTCTATACTTTTGTTTACTTTTCTTTTAAGGGTGACACATTAGTAACAGAGCTAAACTCAACCTGCCTCCTGGATGTTAGGACCCCTGAATTACATAGATTACCTCCTGTGTCCCCAGGTTTGGCGTTCTCTCAGTGTTCACAATTTCTTGAGTGCTACAGCTCTTTAACCTGCCTTTCCTTTGTCTAGCCTGACGACCACATGGTTTATTTTTGGTTCAAGTTTAGCAAAAGACTAAAAACAAACAAACAAACAGGGAGTATAAATATAGGGACGCTGAAAACCCGCTGTAAAAATTTGATAGGGTTCATTTGAAAGGAACAAAGGAATGGAATGCTTAGGACAAAGGAAACTATATGTTATGTGTATTTGGGTTCTTCGTTTGATATTACATAGAAATAACATTTCTGTTTTGTTTCTCTTTTTTTCGGAGTCATGCTCTGTCGCTGGGCTGGAGTGCAGTGGTATGGTCTTGGCTCGCTTCAACCTATGTCTCCCGGGTTCAAGCGATTCTCCTGCCTCAGCCTCCTGACCAGATGGGACTACAGGTGTGTGCCACCATGCCTAGCTAATATTTGTATTTTTAGTAGAGACAGGCTTTCACCATGTTGGCCAGGATGGTCTCGATCTCTTGACCTTGTGATCCATCTGCCTCACCCTCCCAAAGTGCTGGGATTACAGGCATGAGCCACCAATAAATCACATTGCTAAATCACATTTCTATTGATAACTGGCACACAGGTAGAATAGGTTTGACAGAACTTTATATATATGTATATATGTGTATGTGTGTGTATATATATAAATACATAAAACATTTATATACATAAAGTTTGTTTCTATAATCTTTATATATATAAATATACATAAGATTTACAAAGTTATACCTAAAGTTTATATGTATATAGAGGCAGATTGGAGTGCTAAATAGTACCTTTTCTGAATTGCTATGTCCCTGAAGTTGCAGTTTATATATCTAAACTTTACAATATATCATTTAAATAAAGTGCATATCACATTTTTATGCTTTAACACTAAAATATACTAAGTATATATTTAGACTTTATTTTTATATTATTGATGTTTCAGGGTTCTTTATACTTTTGTAAGTATATATGTAAAATTTATATCTATATAGAGTATGCATATATAAATTCTCTGTGTATAAATTTACATATGTAAGTACTCTGAGACTTTATAAACAAATAGAAGTATGTAAGGATATATAGATACATATATGTGTGTGTACATATATATATATACAAACACACACACACACACATCCATACATAGACACAAACACACATACACACACACTCTAATGTGACTGCTGGAGCAGCCATTCAAATACAAGAAGTAGCCAAGTAGAATGAGCTTTAAGTCAGCAGAAATGCTTTAGACATACAAATAGGTACTGATGCTGAGTGCAGTATAGTACTATCATCAACCTCTATTTCTGCCCTAACCACATGAAAACAGACTATTACGTTTCTCTGCTGGACCCTACAAAAAGGTGTCTGAAAAATTCTTTTCAGGGACCCCAAAAATAGGAGCAATTGTATTTCTTTGAACTTTCTTTACTGCAAAGCTTTGTTACCATAAAGGCTTTTATACATGGGTATGTACTGCCATCAAGTTGGAAAGACACAGCAATTGGAGAGAGAACTTGGACTACTTAAGTAGAAATAAAAGCGCCAGATGGATTTCTTGTAGAAATGCTTGTTGAGGATTTTGTATAATGTTATAGAGTCTAAAGTAGCAATTGAAGGTGAAGGTTATTGAAATTTAAACTATATCATATAGATGTTCAATATTGATGTCACTTTCCTTCTAAAATCTTTTCTCTTTTGGAGAGGTTGGAATACAAAATATTACCCTTCCAGAATTTTTTTTTTTTTTTAGATGGAGTCTCACTCTGTCACCCAGGCTGGAGTGCAGTGGCACGATCTCTGCTCACTGCAACCTCTGCCTCTCAGGTTCAAGTGATTCTCCTGCCTCAGCCTCCCTGGTAGCTGGGATTACAGGCACCTGCCACCATGCCTGGCTACTTTTTGTATTTTTAGTAGAGATGGTTGCCATGTTGGCAATTATGGTCTCGAATTCCTGACCTCAGGTGATCCACCCACCTCTGCCTTCCAAAGTGCTGGGATTACAGGTGTGAGCCACCACACCTGGCCACCTTTCCTGTATTTTTGTGTCCCTGAATTTGTAAATTTGATTTTGATTCTGAAATTAAATACAGTGAAATAAGAAGTGAAATGTGAGGCAGAACTGGTCTAGTGATGAGGCCAACAGCAGTGATCTTGTTTTCCCAAGCTGAGGATTTGAGATGGTTACAGGAACAACAGTGACATTTCTGTCTGATTTCATAACGTGATGTTGGTAGTATGCTTTCTGTGAGCTCATCCATGAATCTGCATCTTAGTCTTTCCTGTGATTCTGTAATCCGATTTATACCCCGAGGATCAATCTATGCCTACATTTTCTAAAGAGGCACTAACACTTCGAAACTGAACTCTAACAAATATATACAGTAAATGTATTTCTATCACTACCTACAGACTGCCAAGGGATAGGAAAATTAGATTACATATGGCACAGGGAAAACAAAGTGGATTGAGCTATCACAATAAGGAGAATATACAAATAAAAAAGAGAAATCAGATTTAACATGGGTACATGCCACAAAGGAAACTTGTATACACACTAAATATATCAGTTTTCTGAATGGAATATTGTCTGTGGCTGTCTGGAGCCCACAAATATTTCTTCCAGCCTCACTGGGGAGGAGTTATAATTGCCACCATTCATTGTTGGTGTGTTAACAGGCATAGTATAGTCTCCTTAATATGCACAGTGCCTCATTCTCCTTAACTTCAATGACTCCTCCCTACTCTGTCAGCCAATTATACGTAAGCCACAATAAGCTCTCATAACCCAGCAGAAACTCTTCAATTTAAAGCTTAAAATCATGATTTTCCTCTTCTTCTTATAATGATTCCTCAGGTTTATTGGACTTTATCTTTGACAACAAAGGTTTTGTTGTTGTTTTGCTTTTGCTTTTTTTACCTCTCTTCCCTATACTCACAGGCTACCATGCCTCCCTGCCCTTTACTTGTCTTCCTTTTTGGTGCATATCAGATAATCAGCTATTTTCACGGTTGTCTTTGCTATGAGAAGGGCATATTTAGTTTGTTCAGGACAAATTGGCCTATCGAGTGTGGAATGAGCATTTATCTCATCATTATAATAATTTTATTAATACGCTTCAAAGGTCTAGTTGGTTTGTTACAAGTCAACAAAAATCTACTACTCTTTTCTTCAATCCTGAGAGAACACAGGTCTTTCTGTCTCCCTAAAACGATCAAGAATATCTTATGTGAGCTTTTCCCCTTCCTTTCTGTGTAGGGTCAATATGATCATACATTCTACCCTGCTTTTAAAGCTAATTTTTCATCAAAGTACATGATGCTTTCTCTTTCATTTTCCTCTGGGATCTTCTTTTATCTTTTTTTTTACCTTTCTCATTTATATTTTCAGTTGTTCAAATTCTATTGGCTTTTACATCTTAATATGTGTAAGTAATTCCAAGACTTCATATTCCTGAGAAACAAGTTAAAAAATGAGGAAACAAAGAATATTTACCACTCTCAATTTTATAATAGGAATGTGACAATACTGAAAGATTACTCTGTAAGTAGCAAATATGGTAGATAAAGAGGGATGTCAATGAGACTGGAAAGGTATCTGAGACTTGAGTAAAGAGGAACTGGAACAGGGGCAGAGGCAGGTGTATGGGCCCGTGTGAACGGGAAAAAGAGAGAAAATGAAAGAATAAGGGCAACAGGAGTATAATTAGAGTGTGCAGAGTGACAGGATTTGATGCTATGTGGCACAACACTTTGGCAGGAAAGAGAGTTATAGAGGGTTGTTTGGAAATTTTGCTTTTGTTTTTGTGAAGTAATTATCTACATATTTGTTTTCTACTGGACATGACACATATTTAAGACTGGATAAATGTTGTGCTATGCTTGAATTCCAAATTATATTTAATATCAATGCCGTGATTCTTATATAATGACTTAGAGCTCATGATATCTTAGAAATTAGCCTAATTCTAACATAATTAAATGCAATTACTGCTCTGCTTAAATATATAACACATTTCTATAAAAAATATACATTAAGAAAGTAGAATCGTCACCATTTGGTGAGAATGGGGATATGAATGATAGATACTTCTTATGTATATTACTGGTTATAAGAGAGTAAGCTTTTATATTATCATAAGATCAGTTAGAAAAAGCTGCTGCACCAAAATGGCTGCTTTTCTTCTCAATTTTTCACTTACATGATTGAGAAGTTAATCTATGAAACTTCAGTAGTAAAGCAAGGCTGATTCTTAATAAATTTAATGACTCAGAAAAATGGAATAATTTAGGTTGTGAAACTGTGGCTGCATTAAGTGATTTTAATTAAAGAGAGAATTTGCATAAGCAAATAGTAATTATGCAAGTTGAAATTTAGTCAAGCCACTAAGTTCATCTGAAAGTGCTGACCCTAATATATATGTAGGAAACAAAGTGGCATGTGACTTTATTTTTTTCTGAATACCCAAAATAGAATGTGTAAATTTACATTTTGTTTTATCAACAAGGCATGATAGAAGGAGAATCACATAATCTCTATTTCTTACAAAGTCTTCCATTTTAAACACTATATATAATCATTTCCTTGAGAATGGCACTGTTAATGAGAAAAAATAAATCCTGGTAAAAGAGATTACTAGCTCAGTTTGATGACAGATATTGCGAAATGAAGAGAGGTAGTGAAAAATAAAAAAAAAAAATGCTATGTCTAGTAAAGAAAAGTATTTTTTCTTTGCAAGAAAGGAATAGATACAGCATCTTAAAACTGCTGTGGCCATGTGACATCTTAAAGCCCTAAAACTATTTTATGTACATATTTTCCTTCATATAGAATGAGTATCAATTAGTTTTAAATGATTTTATATGCCAATATTAGGTAAGCTAAAGAATGGTTAATGAAGGTTAGAATGCAAAACTCAGATATAATTTTATGTAAGTAAATGAAGATTTTCTTTATCGAAAGCCTTTTTAACCTAGAATAATGAGTACAGCAGTCAAGATAGGTTATGAATGGAAATGTAATCAGCTGGCAGCTGAGTTCAGGATGTAATTATGTTACTTGTATAAGGGTGTTATGGTGGCCCAAGGTAAACCAGGCTCTGACAGGACAGGTAGTTTATCCAAATGGGAATTTGAGATTAAAATGTCATAATACTTGTAAAAATCATTTTAAATGAACTGACATATTTCTAAGTTGCAAATGAAAAATTTTCTAGAATATTATTTGAACTTATTGCTTTTCAACATAAGGCTTAATTAAATTATTGATTAAAATGCATGTATTATCTAGATGAGCTAGCTGCACCAATCTGGATGGTACAGCAGAGTCACAACAGTATTGATAAGATACATATCTTCCAGCTTGTCCCTATCACAAGCACCATTTGTTTCAAGGCCAAAGACAGAAAGTTTAACCATCTTTTCTGTAGCATTTTAAGCATACATGAAAGAAGAAATTTCTAGAAATAATAAAGTTGAAAAATGATTATCAATTATATATTAAGAATGTCTCTCCATTTCTATTCATTCAATGAGCTAATAGAAAGAAAAATGTGTTTAGGTAGAAGTTTTCAGGTTTAATCTCAAGGAAGAAATACAGTATGTTTAAGATGAATAAATCACAAATGAAAAATGCTCCCTGAGTTAACAATATCTGTATTATTTACCTGACTATTCTCAAATATGATCCTTTATTTTGATCACCTTCATGTTCAGTTGACATTACTGCTGAGTATAAAATAAAGTTTTTAGTTATTTAAAAAAATTATAATTGACATAATTTTGCATATTTATGGGGTACAATATTATGCTTTAATGCATGTATACATCATGTAATGATCAAATCAGAGTAATTACCACATCCAACACTGTAAATATTTATCATTTCTTTCTGGTGATAATATTTGAAATTTTTTCTTCTAGCTGTCTGGAAATGTACACCACAGTGTTATTAGCTACAGTCACCCTACTATGTAATAGAATGCAATAACTATTCTTCCTGTTCGACTTTTATTTTGTACCCTTTGATCAACCTCTCCCAGTACACCCACCTTCTACCCCCATCCCCAGTCTTTGGTACACACTATTCTATTCTCTACTTTTATGCAATCCACTTGTTCAGATTCCACGGATTAATGATAATACAGTGTCTTTCTGTGCCTGGCTTATTTCATTTAACATTGTCTTCCACAGTCAACGTTGCTGTGAATAACACTATTTCATTCTGTTCTATGCCCCAAGTAGTATTTCATCATCTATATAATACTATACCGTATATAATGAAACAGTATTCCATTGATTCAATACATACATATTTACATACATATATGTGTGTGTGTATATATATATGTACATAGGTATGTATGTATTTAATCAATGGAATACTATTTCATTGTATATGGTATGGTATTCCGTATGTGATAGAATACTATATATATATATACACACACACACACACACACACAATGAACAGAATAAACATTAAGTGATTTTATGTCTGTATATATATATATATATACACACATATATACAATGGAATATTATATATATATTTCCAAATCACATATTTTTTATTCATGTGAGATGAGCATTTAGGTTGATTCTATTCTTGGTTATCATGCATAGAACGGCAATAAAATTAAGAGTAGAGATAATTCTTTAACAAACATACTCTACATCCTTTGGATAGTTCTATTTTTAATTTTTTAAGAAACTACCACACTGTTTTCTATAATGGCTGTGCTAATCTACATTCCTACCAACAGAACATAAGTGTTCCCCTTTTTCCACATCTTCCCTAAGGTTTGTTATGTTTTGTCTTTTTGATAATAGTCATTTTACTTAGGGTGAGGTAATATCTCATGGTTTTGATTTGCATTTTTCCAATGACTATTGATATTGAACAGTCTTTCATATATCTATTGGACATTTGTATGTCTTCTTTTGAGAAATGTGTAACTCAGATCTTTTGACCGTCTTTTAATTGGATTATTTGTGGATGGATCTTTTGTTTGCCATTGAGTTGTTTGAGTTCCTTATATATATTCTGGATATTAACCCTTTGTCAAATGTATAGTTTGCAAATACTTCTTCCCATTCTATAGGTTGTCTCTTCATTATCATGATTGTCTTCTTTGTTGTGCAGAAGCTTTTTAGTTTGACATAACCCTATTTTTCTACTTTTTGCTTTGGTTGCCAGTGCTTTTGAGATTTTGTTGAAAAAATCATCTCCTAGCCCAAGGTTCCGAAGTGTTTCTCCTATGTTTTCTTTCAGTTGGAGGTCATATATTTATGTCTTTAATATATTTAGAGTTGATTTTTGAACATAGTGAGAGGAGCCTTGTTTAATTCTTCTGCTTGTAAACATTCAGTTTTGCTTGTGTCATTTTTTTAAGAAATAATTCATTTTTCAATGTGTGTTTTGGCACCTTTGTTAAAAAGCAGTTGGCTATAAATGTATGCATTTACTTCTGAACTCTGTATTCTGTTTCATTAGTCTATAAATCTATTTTTGGGCTAATACCATGCTGTTCTGGTTACTATAGCATTGTAGTATATTTTGTAGTCAGGTATTGTGATGCCTCCAGCATTATTTTCTTTTTCTCATGATTGCTTTGACAATCCAGGATCTTTTGCATTTCCAAATGAATTTTAAGGTTTGTTTTCTATTTCTGTGAAGAATGCTATTGTTATTTTCATAGGGATTGCATTGAATCTGTAGATTGCTTCGGGTAATACAGACGTCTTTAAAATATTAATTCTTCCAATCTATGAACACAAAATATCTTCTTATTTATTTGTGTTTTCTTTAATTTCTTTCATCAACGTTATCTAGTTTTCACTGTAGAGATGTTTTGCCCCCTTGGTTAAATTTATTTCTAGGTATTATTATTCTTGTAGATATTGTAAATAGAATTGATTTCTTGATTTCCTTTGCAGATCATTTGCTATTGATGTGTACAGATGCTACGGATGTTTGTATGTTGATTTTGTATTCTATAAACTTTACTAAATGTATAAATTCTAATAGTTTTTGGATGGAGTCTTTAGGGTTTATATACATAACAGTATGAGAAAACAAGAGCAATTTGACTTCCTGTTTTCCAATTTGGAAAATTTCCCTTTCTTTCTTTCTCTTGCCTAATTGCTCTGGCTAGATCTTTCAGTACTAGGTTGAATAAAAGAAGTGGAATTGGGGCAGGGTGCGGTGGCTCACGCCTGAAATCCCAACACTTTGGGAGGCCGAGGCGGGCAGATCACGAGGTCAGGAGATCGAGACCATCCTGACTAACATGGTGAAACCCAGTCTCTACTAAAAACACAAAAAAATTAAGCCGGGTGTGCTGGCAGGTGCCTGTAGTCCCAGCTACTCGGGAGGCTGAGGCAGGGGAATGGCGTGAACCTGGGAGGTGGAGCTTGCAGTGAGCCGAGATGGCGCCACTGCACTCCAGCCTGGGCAACAGAGCAAAACTCTGTCTCAAAAAAAAAAAAAGTGGAATTCAGTATCCTCGTCTTGTTACAGATTTTAGAGGATGTTAAAATTATAAGATGTTTTTGGTAAGCCTCATGGTAAACACAAAGCGAAAATATTTAATAGAGTAAGAATAAAAAGTGAAAAAGTAAAAATAAAAAATAACGAATTTAAAACATATTACCAAATAAAATAGCTTTTTTTTGTCACACAAACTATTTTTTAAATTATACTTTAAGTTCTAGGGCACATGTGCACAATGTGCAGGTTTGTTACATATGTATACGTGTGCCATGTGGGTGTGCTGCACCCATTAACTCATCGTTTACATTAGGTATATCTCCTAATGCTATCCCTCCCGCCTCCCCCCACTCCACAACAGGCCCTGGATTGTGATGTTCCCCTTCCTGTGTCCATGTGTTCTCATTGTTCAATCCCACCTATGAGTGAGAACATGCAGTGTTTCGTTTTTTTTCCTTCCGATAGTTTGCTGAGAATGATGGTTTCCAGCTTCATCCATGTCCCTACAAAGGACATGAATTCATCCTTTTTTATGGCTGCATAGTATTCCATGGTGTATATGTGCCACACTTTCTTAATCCAGTCTATCATTGATGGACATTTGGGTTGGCTCCAAGTCCTTGCTATTGTGAATAGTGCCACAATGAACATATGTGTGCATGTGTCTTTATAGCAGCATGATTTATAATCCTTTGGGTATATACCCAGTAATGGGATGGTTGGGTCAAATGGTATTTCTAGTTCTAGATCCTTCAGCAATCGCCATACTGTCTTCCACAACGGTTGAACTAGTTTACAGTCCCACCAACAGTGTAAAAGTGTTCCTATTTCTCCACATCCTCTCCAGCACCTGTTGTTTCCTGACTTTTTAATGACCACCATTCTAACTGATGTGAGATGGTATCTCATAGTGGTTTTGATGTGCATTTCTCTGATGACTAGTGATGATGAGTATTTTTTCATGTGTCTGTTGGCTGCATAAATGTCTTCTTTTGAGAAGTGTCTGTTCATCTCCTTTGCCCACTTTTTGATGGGGTTGTTTGTTTTTTTCTTGTAAATTTGTTTGAGTTTTTTGTAGATTCTGGATATTAGCCCTTTGTCAGATGAGTAGATTGCAAAAATTTTCTCCCATTCTGTAGGTTGCCTGTTCACTCTGATGGTAGTTTATTTTGCTGTGCAGAAGCTCTTTAGTTTAATTAGATCCCATTTGTCAATTGTGGCTTTTCACATGCAGGCAAACTAAACTTCGTAAGTGAAGGAGAAATAAAATCCTTTACAGACAAGGAAATGCTGAGAGATTTTGTCACCACCAGGCCTGCCCTACAAGAGCTCCTGAAGGAAGCATTGAACATGGAATTCTACACCAATAACAGACAGAGAGCCAAATCATGAGTGAACTCCCATTCACAATTGCTTCAAAGAGAATAGTATACCTAGGAATCCAACTTATAAGGGATGTGAACGACCTCTTCAAGGAGAACTACAAACCACTGCTCAATGAAATAAAAGATAATGCAAACAAATGGAAGAACATTCCATGCTCATAGATAGGAAGAATCAATACCGTGAAAATGTCCCTACTGCCCAAGGTAATTTATAGTTTCAATGCCATCCCCATCAAGCTACCAATGACTTTCTTCTCAGAATTGGAAAAAACTACTTTAAAGTTCATATGGAACCAAAAAAGAGCCCACATTGCCAAGACAATCCTAAGCCAAAAGAACAAAGCTGGGGGCATCACACTACCTGACTTCAAACAGTACTACAAGGCTACAGTAACCAAAACAGCATGGTACTGGTACCAAAACAGAGATATAGACCAATGGAACAGAACAGAGCCCTCAGAAATAATACCATACATCTACAACCATCTGATCTTTGACAAACCTGACAAAAACAAGAAATAGGGAAATGATTCCCTATTTAATAAATGATGCTGGGAAAACTGGCTAGCCATAGGTAGAAAGCTGAAACTGGATCCCTTCCTTACACCTGATACAAAAATTAATTCAAGATGGATTAAAGACTTAAATGTTAGACCTAAAACCATAAAAACCTTAGAAGAAAACCAAAGAAACTAACTTAATCACAGAGTAAGATGAAAGGAAAAAGAAAGAAAGAAAGGGAGTAGTTATAAAACAATCAGAAAACAATAAAACATCAGCAGTAAGTTCTTACCTATCAATAATAACCTTGAGTGTAGATTGACTAAATTATTTAGTTAAAAGACATAGCGTGGCAGAATAGATTAAAAACAACAAAAATATAACAAAACAAGACACAAGCTGCCAACAAGAAACTTACTTCAACTATAAACACATAAATAGATTGAAAACCAAAGAAAGGGATGGAAAAAGACATTCCATGAAAATGGAAACTAAAAAGAGTAGGGGTAGCTAGACATATAGAATAAAATAGACTTTAAGTTAAAAATGATTTTTAAAAAGACAAAGAGGGTCATTGTGTAATGATACAATACAGGAAGAGGATATAACAATTGTAAATATATATGCACCTAATATTGGAACACCTAAATATATAAAGCAAATATTTACAGACCTAAAGGGAGAGATTGACTCTAATACAAAAATTACTAACTTCAGCACTACACTTTCAGCAATAGATAGATCGCCCAGACAGAAAATGAACAAAGAAACATTGAGTTAAACTGTACTCTAAATCAAATGGACCCAACAGACATTTACAGAACATTCCACCTTAGAGCAGCAGAATACATATTTTTCTCAATAGCACATTTAAAAATTATCCAGCATGAATTATGTTAGGCCACACAAAAATCTTACCAAATTTTAAAGCTGAAATCTTATCAAGCATATTTTCTGACCACAGTGGATTAAACTAGAAATTTATAACAAGTGGAACTTTAGAAACTGTATGAATAAATAAAAAGCAAACAACATGCCTATAATCAACCAGTGTAGCAATAAAGAAATAAAAAAGGAAGTAAAAAATTCCTTGAGATAAAAAAAAAAAAGGAAATACAACATAGCAAAACTTGTGGGGAAGAGTAAAAGCAGTTCTAAGAGAGAAGTTTACAGCAATAAATGCTTAACTGAAAAAAGTAGAGGGATCTCAAATAAACAACCTAACCTTACACCTCAAAGAACTAGAAAAACACAATCTAAAGCCAAAATTAGTAGAAGAAATGAAATACAAATGATCAGAGCATAAATAAATGAAGCAAAAACTAAAAAATACAAAAGAGTAATAAAGAGCTGATTTTTTGAAAAGATAAACAGAATTAAAAAATAACTTTAGCTGACAGGAAAAAAGAAAAGTAAATGTAATAAAATTTAAACGATTAATCTTTTTTATTATTACATACTATTTTTACTTTTTTTGTTATACCATCAGTTGCTTCATTTCAGAAATTTGGATTCAGTTAATTGGGAATACTTTGCTGTAGTAGTAGGTTAGTTGCATGCTAATATTTGGTTTACAACATATTTTTAAAAGATGACATTTTGTTAAATCATCAAAACTTATAAAGATAGTATCTATAATTCTGATAAAGGAACTAAAGTTCTGGGAAATATTAACATTAAACATCAATGTTTAATTAACATTAAACATTAAACATTATAGGGTTTCTTAATTGTAAAACAGACATTTGGCCAAAGTATTTTTTTTTCCCCAGTGTTCCTTCTTCTCTAGAATACTACTAATTTGGCAAAATGTCAATGAATCTTGTTAGATTCCCACACTAGTTTCAAAATAAAAATAATGACATTTAAATCATAGTAACTAACTTGCCAAGGCTTGGAAGCAGTTTAATTACTAAGGTCCACACCAGTGATTTTGGATTATTAAAAGGGCATAGATCTCAGGCATTGCTTTTTAATTTTATTCTAATGAGATAAAGGCTAACTGAAACAGCTGTATGATGAGAACACATTTGAGAGCTTTTTTTGTAATAAAAGTTTTGATATCAGAAAAAATTTAGTTGTGAGTGGAGAGGCAGCTGGAATCAAAGTTTATAAATTTCTACTATAGCCAAAAATAAAAATCATTTTATATTTTTAATATTTACCTCTAATGTTACACTAAGTCTTTAAGATCTAATGGGATTAATTAAGAAGGAATTAGTTATCTGGCTATAGAATCATTTTCTTCCTTTACCAAATCAGTTCCTAATAGATTTTATTTTTTACTTCTTAATCGTAATCTTACTTACTCAAAAGTGCTTGTTTTTCTATTCATAGAATTAACTAAATCTAGTATTTTACAAAATTGTACAGTTTTCCAGGGATTGTGCAAGAAGAAAAGTTTTCATTAAGAAGTAATATGAATGTTTCGGCTCTGTCTTTTAAATATTTCAAAAATATTTTTACATTTTTAATATACAAGGACACAACAGAAATGTAAAGAGACTAGACTTGGCGTAAAACCAAAAGTCAATTTCCAACTCATGTGCTTTTATTTGTGTAAATTCACAGAGTCCCCAAGTATTTCAGAAGAATACAATTATTCATGTTATGAATCAAATTATGGTGGGGTTAAGTAAAATTAAAATTCATGTCCTTAGTAAACATATTAATTCAAATCTTGCCATGTAATTAGAATGCTGAATTATTAGATGGAGATTAGATGAGTTTTTCTTGGAAGAATGAATATTCACCATATATCCCAAGACACATTCCAATTTCATCAACATTCTAAATGTGCTCTTATCTTATCACTGTGCTCTCCTGATTTATAATATTTTCCTTAACCACACTTCCTATATTTTAACAAACTCTATGTCTATCATTTACTTTATTGAAAGTGATGAATTAAGCTCAATCTTTTCTTCCTAGTTAATTTTATTCCACAAAATACCCCTTGCTTTAACAACTGGGAAGGGAGTTGTTATCCAAATGTTTTAAATATATGAATATGCTGGAATGCAACTAAAAACACTATGCAGTTACTTCCTTTCAAAATGGTTCAAAAGATTTCTAACAAACTGTTCAGAATATTTAACAGAATAACTAAATGTTTTAACTTAAAATTCATTAAACCATACTGTGAAACAGTGAAGAGAATTCTACATATTTGGGAAATTTGTAGACATGCCATTCATACTTGCTTAAAATCAAATAGTTCATACAATGTACTAATTTTATTCTCAGTGGTAATATTTATACATTTTAATTTATAGATATCAAGTAACTTATGCAACTTAGACACTAATATATTAGGAGAAAAGTAGAATATCCAAAATAACTTTAAAATAAAGCAATGTTTCAAACTCACTTTCACATCAGCAAGATGATATTAATCTATTTTTTTAAATTTTACTTTAATCTCTGGAAGTACAGATCCAAACTAATATTCTTTTTGCTTTGTTTTTGTATTAGTGATTTTTGACATATAAATTGTAAAATATAATTGCTGGAATACATGATTAGCATGATGTGGAATCAGGAAGCCTAGGTTCAAATACACATTCTCACACCCAGCAGAGTAGGGACTTTGGTAAGGTTATTTAATAATTTTGTATCAGTTTTCTCACATGCAGAACAAAGACAATACTGGCTTCCACTTCTGAGAGCTCTTCTAGAAGACTGAATAAGTTGTCACGAGTAAAGCACTTAAAACACCACTTCATACATTGGTACCCTTTAAATAGAAGCTATTCTTATACCACATTTTATGATTTTCAGATCACTTGAAATTTTTGCAATATACATGTTTTGCTGAGGAAAACTTTTTTCACTGCCCTTATACTGTGAAAGGACGAATGTTGGAAACATTTCCAAGACAATAAATAATTTTAGTCTCAGAAAGGACATTACTGGTACCTTTAGAAGAGCCTTAGTGCAAAGGCATTTCATTTCTAAGCATGAGTTCTCATTCTTCTTTTGTTACAGTGTTTTATAGCAAGCAAATCAATTCAAGTCTAATATAATTTTAAATGTAAGGTAAACATTAATGGTAAATATAACTAAAAATAAAGAAATAAATGTGTTTATCTCAACTGGTGTCTGTATTTTTACTATTTACTATACTGAAATGCAATATGTTGGTTAGAGGAAAAAGTTACATGTTTTATTTTGATGAACTGAATATTTTACGAATTGCATTTTATCACTAAGTCTGAGTGGATTTGTTTTCAATATAAATTGAATTAGATACCACTTGACTAACAAATGGATGTTTGGGGAAAATTAGCACATTTCTGTAACACAGTTTTGTAAACATGTAAATAGGTATGGCTTTCAGGAGAAAACTTTGGCAAAATGTATGCTTTTGAAAATCTGTGAAGAGAAAATAAAGAGAATCAAAGGTGTATTTGGGCAGAATACAAATACTGAAGTATATGCCAAAATTTTAATTCAAGCAGTACTCACTTTTCACAGTCGCAATACGCATGGATTTTCATTACTAAGTTTAGTGGTTTAATTAAATAACACCAGTGCAACAGCAAGAAGGTACAAATTTCAGCTACCACAGTATATTAACTGAGTAATTCCATGAAGTACAAACTTTGCTGCTAGCTTTTCAGTCCAAAATTCATTAAGTGAAACCAGATGTACATAATAATCACCAAACATATCACTTATCCCAAAGTCTGCATATCTGTAATTCAGTTAATACACAAATAGTAAAGCATGTAGTTGTGCTGTTTCCTCGTTCTCAGTAATGAATACAGGTGATATTTTATTGAAGAAATGATCAAGAGAAAAAATTGGCCAACAAAAATAAAAGTGCACAAAGAAGCAAAGAATGATAATTCTGGTAGTAAAATTCTAATCAAATGTAAATGAAGCTATAGAAGAAACAGACTGACCATTGGTTCTGGGAATGTTGACACTGCTACTGTTCAAGGGATTCTAAATATGGAGGCAGAAATAGTTAATGAAGGCAAAAGTATTGACATAAATGAAGGGGAAGTTTCAATAAAAAAGATGATGTCCCAAAGAAAGTGAATGGAGAAAACTTCATAGTAAGGACAATCTTGAATATATTGCACAACATTGAAACAAAAAAAATTAAATGTTGGAAACGGATCCAAATTTAGAAAGAGTATGATAACTGGCCAAGTTATAAAAAGGATTCTCATTTCATATTGTGCATTATAAAATGAGAAGGCAAACAATGTTCAAATTACTCTTGATAAGATTTTTTCAAAGAAACAAAACAATTATCAATGTTTCTAATATTGTATATAACTGTGTAAAATAAATATTTGATTATTTTTGAATTTTCCCATATATTTATCACCAACAATAAGAGAATTTTAGTGTTCTGACACAATTGTTTAAAGGTAATAAGATAATCCTCTTTTTTTATTGTTGATTAATATCATTTTGCATGTATTTAGCTTGCTTCATCAATTTGTACTCTTATAGTATCATATAAATTGTGAACTGTGTATACTTATTATTGATTACACACAAGTGAAAAATTGATATGATATTTATTGCTTATAATAAACGTACATTATTTTTAGTAAATATATGCATACCAATAAAATAATATATAGTATATGTATATGTATTCATAGACATATATTGTATTAGTCTGTTTTCATGCTGCTAATAAAGATATACCCAAGGCTGAGTAATTTTTGAAGGAAAGGGGTTTAATTGACTCACAGTTCCACATAGCTTGGGAGGCCTCACAATCATGGTAGAAGTTTAATGAGGAGCAAAATTGCATCTTACATGGTGGCAGGCAAGAGAGTGTGTGCAGGGAAAATGCCCTTTTATCAAACTGTCAGATATCATGAGACTTAGTCACTATCATGAGAACAGCACAGGAAAACCTGCCCCCATGATTCAATTACCTCCCACTGGGTCCTGCCCATGGCACATGGGAATTATGTGAGCCACGATTCAAGATGAAATATGGATGGAGACACAGCCAAACCATATCATTCCTCCCTTGGACTCTCCCAAATCTCATGTTCTTACATTTCAAAACCAATCATGCCTTTCCAACAGTCACACCTATGAGCCTGTAAAATCAAAAGAAAGTTAGTTACTTCCTAGATACAATGGGGGTACAGGCATTGGGAATAAACCCATTCCAAATGGGAGAAATTGGCAAAAACAAAGAGACTATAGGCCCCATGCAAGTCCAAAATCCAACGAGGGAGTAAGTAAATCTTACAGCTCACATTCAAGTCACACTGATGCAAGAGGTGGCCTCCCATGGCCTTGGGCAGCTCCACCCCTCTGGCTTTGCAGGGTACAGGCCTCCTCCCAGCTTCTTTCACAGGCTGAGGTTGAGTGTCTGCAGCTTTTCCAGGCACATGGCACAAGCTGTTAGTGGATTTACCATTCTGGAGTCTGGAGGACAGTGGCCCTCTTCTTACAGCTCCACTAGGCAGTGCCCTAGTGGGGACTCTGTGAAGGTGCTCCAACCCCATATTCCCTTTCCACATGCCCTAGCAGAGGTTCTCCATGAGGGCTCTGCCCTTCAGCAGTCTTCTGTCTGGACATCCAGGCCTTTCCACACATCCTCTGAAATCTATGTGGAGGGTCCCAAACCTCGACTCTTGACTTCTGTGCACCCACAGGCTCAACAACACATGGAAGCTGCCAAGGTTTGGGGCTTATGCCCTCTGAAGCTACAGTCTGATCATACCTTGGTGCCTTTTAACCATGGTTTGAGTAGCTGAGATGCAGGGCACCAAGTTCCTAGGCTGCACAGAGCTGGGAGGTGGGGAGGTGGCTGGGCTTGGGCCACAAAAACATTTTTCCTCCTAGGCCCTGTGATGGGAGGGGCTGCCATGAAGGCCTCTGACATGCCCTGGAGACATTGCCCTCATTATCTTGGTGATTAACATTTGATTCCTTGTTACTTATGCAAAATTCTGCAGCAGGCTGGAATTTCTCCTTAGGAATTTTTTTTTTCCTATTACATCATCTGGCTGCAAATTTTCCAAACTTTTATGCTCTGCCTCCCTTTTAAACATAAATTCTAATTCCAAATCATATCTTTGTCAATACATAAAACTGAATACCCTTAATAGCATGCTAGTCACCACTTGAACACTTTGCTGCTAAGAAATTTCTTCCACCAGATGCCTAAATAATCTCTCTCTGGTTCAAAGTGTCACAAATCTCTAGGACAGAGCAAAATGCTGTCAGTCTCTTTACCAAAGAATACAAAGAGCCACCTTTGCTCCAATTCCCAACAATGTCTCATCTTCACCTGAGATCACTGCAACCTGGACTTCATTTTCCATATGTCTATCAGCATTTTGGTCGAAGCCATTCAACAAGTCTCTAGGAATTTTCAAACTGTCCCACATCTTCCTGTCTTCTGAGCCCTCCAATTCTCTAGGAAGTTTCAAACTTTTCCAAATTTTCCGGTCTTCTTCTTATCCCTCCAAACTGTTTTAACCTCTGCCTGTTACCCAAATTCCAAAAGTCACTTTCACATTTTTGGGTATCTTTACAGCAGCACCCTACTCTCTACCGGCCCTACTCTTTACCGCCCTACTGCAGTACTAATTTAATGTTATTAGTCAGTTCTCATGCTGCTAATACATACCAGAGACTGGGTAATTTATAAAGGAAAGAGGATTAATTGTCTCACGGTTCCATATGGATAGGGAAGCCTCACCATCATGGCAGAAGGCAAATGAGTAGCAAAATCACATCATATGTGGCACTGGCAAGAGAGTATGTACAGGGGAACTGCCCTTTTATCAAATCATCAGATCTCATGGGACTTATACACTATCAGGAGAACAACACAGGAAAATCTGGCCCCATGATTCATTAGCCTCCCACTGGGTCCATCCTATCACATGTGGGAATTATGGGAGCTACAATTCAAGATGAGATTTGGGTGGGGACACAGCTAAACCATATCATATTTGGATTGAGTTGATTGTTTTAAAAGTTACATTAGATAGAAGCTGTCCTCTTGTTTCTTATGGCACTAGTGATAAAACTGTTGAAATAATCTGAACTATTTTATCATTAATACAAAGAAAATGAGACAATCTCAATAGCTGAAACAATACTAATATTTTAAAGCTAAATATATAGTCAGAGAAAAGTTTCAACTATATCAGTGACTCCCAAGAAAGTCATATTGAAAACATCACAATGATAACATAACAAATGTTGCTCCAAATTAAAGGTAAAATATTCTGACAATTATATAATCATTTCCATATGAGGTAGTTTCCAATGAATCTTTAAGATTATAACAAATGACAAGGAGACATGTTGTATATCTTTATCTATATTATTAAACAAATCTTCTCTAAAAGAAGAGACTCATAAAATCTAAGAAGTAAAGAGGAGCAAGCATGAATATTACCACTCCCTCGACTTTTTGAAAGTTGGCTAAAAATATCCATAATAACAGTATCTATAACATGTCTACAAGCTAGAAAAATAGTTGAAAAACAGGTAAATGTGATGATAGCAAAAGATCCAGAAACTATACATGACTAAATAAAAAATTATTGTGAGAGCATCCCCATGCTGAGCTAGGTATACTAACAGGGGCATATATTTTAACATCTCTAAATTTCAGTTTTGTTGACTATAGAATAATTTTAAATCTGTGCACGTCAGGTGTTTATAATAGAGTATAAATAAAATGCAACTATGAAATCATTTGCAACCTTCAAAGTGTTGTCCAAAAATAGATCATTATAATGTATTTATTCCCTTAGTTTAGCTAAGTAACACATTAGCTACTGCCTTTATCAATATCAACCCTAAAATATACTGAATAGACACTTTTCAGAGAACTTATCAAAATATGTGTTTTGAGGAAATAGAATACCTCAGCATTTCTTTCCAGTTTCATCTTCCTTTGCAATTTTCAGCATTAGCTTAGATGTTAAACAACGGATCACAGGATGTGTAGAATGAACAAGGGGCAATTCTAATATGGGCCAAATGTATTAACTTCATTCTTGGTATTATTGAGATGTACTGGAGGGGAGGGCAATAAAGATGAGTTTCAACTGCAGCTTACTACACACTAAACTGACCTAACTGACTACAGTACATTTTTATTCACAAGTGATGACAAAGGGCTGTCCGTATGTACATGCCACATATTCATTACAAATTTCATGTCATTTTTTGAAAGCAGTGCTTGTTTTATAATTTATGAAGTATTACGATGCATTATTTTCTGATAAGATGTGTGAAGGAACAAAATCCCCTGAAACCGTTTCACTGTTAGAATAAAAATTGTACTGCCCAGTGACTATCCTGACCTGCTAATTGCTTCAAAATCTGAATTCATATTTATAATCACATTTTCTAAGGTATGTACATGCTATGAACCTTTCTTTCTAGTGTCTTTCATTACATGAAGTGATATATGAGGTACTCTGAAGAAAATCAAAGTTTTGGCAAGATATTTTTCAATAGAATACTTCTACATACATTATTCATTTTTGAAAAGATATTAGTAAAAGAATAACAGGATTATTCTTTGTGCTATAAGGTTCTATAGATTTTCACAAATGTTTAATGTTTTGTATTATACAGAATAGTTTCACTGCCCTATATTATCCTAGGATGGAATTCAGAATGTGATAAAAGAATTTAAATGTATCCTAAGTGTCTGTAACATCAGCACTGAAGGGAGAGGAGGAATAGGATGATGACATTAATGCGTTTGAAAATGAATGGAGTCTGTTAAGAATAAAGGGGGAAAAGTATTTTAAAAAGAAGGGAAAAGGGAAGATGACATTTTAGATGCATAATTCAAATATAAGGAATTATAAACTAGTAAACTGAAAGCTTAGAGTCATATTTTTTTGTATTTAGTGTTAAACATTTTCAATATAACACAGTGATTAAGTACACAGACACACAACTACAACTAGCCATTTAACCTTAATATAGAGGTTGAACTCTCCATTCTCTCTTTTCTGATCTGTAAAATGATGATGAAAATAGTACCTGCCTTAGTCAGAAGTATGAAATATTTATAAAAGATCACAGCATATAAAGTAAAAGCTACATCAGATTTTACAGTTATTATTACGGCTGACAAGGCAGCATGGACAGAAGTGACTAAAGAATAGTGATAAAGGAAGAGAATAAAAACAGACTGTGACTCTTGGTAAGTGGAAATGTGAACAGTTTTTCTCAGAGCAGGGGATATCCAGATTTGGTGAGCATAAATTCACACTTTTTGGATTCTTCCTTTAAGAAAATGGATATAACCTTTAAAATACTAAACAAAGTATAAGAGGGTATGTTTAATTTAGAATGAGAAATAAGTCACCACAAATTATATTTGAAATATTTAACAAAACCAATAAACACCATCAAGTTTAAAAACATAGAAAACTATTTTTAATTGATCACATGGAATTTCCATAATAATCTCAAGATTAACTTCTGGCTCAGGACAACTCAAGCTTTTCTTCTCCTCTCCTATGTATGTACTTCTGATGTGGGTTGCCACTGAATGCTTTGATATGGGTGCTAGACTCCTGCAGGACCTGTGCCTTCATCTCATAGTGCAAGGAGAGTGGAAAGTAATTGTTACAAACTACACAAACAGCGGACCATATGACTTTCCTATCTAAGGTTTCTTTCTTTGCAAGTGAAGGGATGATACATTAGTATCAGAGAGAAAGTAAAATGAACTGTTAACAAAGGGGACACAGGAGTAAAATATCTTTTATTTATCCCCTTATCTCCACAAAAGTCATAGTTTGGCAGATTTCAGAGGAATTCAAAACACTAATACATAGTTGTGTATGCAACAATAATGGTATACCAACCAAGAGGTATCAATAATGGTGAAAAGCAAGTAACACCAAAACCCTTATATTCTAGTGCATGCATTGAGAACATGAGAACCACAGAAAAAATGGTGGTATTTGTGAAGAATGATAAAACTTGATAAGATTTCTTCAGGCTCAGATTTGCAATTCAGTCTCAGATTTTAGAACATAGGGAGAATATTTTACCTTGGTAATTTTATAATGATATAATAGCCCATGGGAATTCTAGCAGAATTGTACACAGGACCTTACAACACCCAAGTAAAGAATGATAAAACATTTTTCCATTTTGATTGTAATAGTGGCTATATATCATTTATCACCATTTATTAGAATTTTTCACTATAAAGGATAATTTATTTGTATATAAATGGTATCTTAATAAAATGTTTTCAAAACCTATTTGGCAATAATAATAATTAATAATAATGAAAATAATACCAAAGTAAAAATTGAAACAGAGACAAAAATATTTTCTATTTCAATCATAAGGGCTAAAATCCAAAAATGAAAAAGGCTTTTAAAATTTGAAGAGAAAAAAAAGTTGTTGTAAGGGAAAAAAAACTGTGAACAGAAATTTCATGTAAAATATAAACACAAAACACCTCCAACAAATAAAAAGATGTTCAACCTTATGAAGTTTTTTAGTTCAACCTAAACCTAATTAGATTTTTTAAAGTTATATGTGATTACATAATCTATTGGCAAATCTCTGAGGAAATAAGCATTCTCATAAATTCAGAAGATTATCAGAGGCTATTATGAACACCCATATACAAACAAACTACAAAATCTATAGAAAATGAATAAATTCTTGAAAACACACAATATCTCAAGATTCAATCTATCAGGAAGAAATTGAAACCCTGTACAGACCAATATTAAGGTGTTGCGGGAAGTCAGGGACATCAAAAGGAGGGACTGGCTGAAGCCATGGCAGAAGAACGTGAATTGTGAAGATTTCATGGACATTTATTAGTTCCCCAAATTAATACTTTTATAATTTCTTACACCTGTCTTTACTGCAATCTCTGAACATAAATTGTGAAGATATCATGGACACTTATCACTTCCCCAATCAATACCCTTGTGATGTCCTATGCCTGTCTTTACTTTAATCTCTTAATCCCATCATCTTCTTAAACTGAGGAGGATGTATGTTGCCTCAGGACCCTGTGATGATTGCGGTAACTGCACCAATTGTTTGCAGAGCATGTGTATTTGAACAATATGAAATCTGGGCACCTTGAAAAAAGAACAGGATAACAGCAATGTTCAGGGAACAAGAGAGATAACCTTAAACTCTGACTGCCGGTGAGCTGGGCGGAACAGAGCCATATTTCTCTTCTTTCAAAAGCAAATGGGAGAAATATCGCTGAATTCTTTTTCTCAGCAAGGAACATCCCTGAGAAAGAGAATCCTTCCCTGAGGGCAGGCCTCTGAAATGGCCGCTTCAGTGGGTGGCTGTGTTTTATGGTTGAAGCTGTAGGGATGAAGTAAGCCCCAGTCTCTTGTAGCGCTCCCAGGCTTATTAGGATGAGGAAATTCCCACCTAATAAATTTTGGTGAGACTCGTTGTCTGCTCTCAAACCCTGTCTCTTGATAAGATGTTATCAATGACAATGCGTGCCTGAAACTTAATTAGCAATTTTAATTTCGCCCTGGACCTGTGGTCCTGTGATCTCCCCCTGCCTCCATTTGCCTTGTGATATTCTATTACCTTGTGAAGCACGTGATCTCTGTGACCCATACCCTATTTGTACACTCCCTCCCCTTTTGAAAATCACTAATAAAAACTTGCTGGTTTTACGGCTCAGGGGGCATCACGGAACCTGCCAACATGTGAGGTCTCCCCCGGACACCCAGCTGTAAAATTTCTCTCTTTTGTACTCTGTACCTTTATTTCTCAGACCAGCCGACACTTAGGGAAAACAGAAAAGAACCTACGTGAAATATCAGGGGTGAATTTCACCCAATATCTGGCTGAATTTCCCCCGATACTAAGGGTCAAAATTGAATCAGTATTAAAAAACCTCCCAACCAAAACAAGCCCCAGACCAGATGGATACACAGCAAAATTCTACCAGATGTGCAAAGACAGTACTGTTACCAATTCTATGGAAAATATTTCAAAAAATTGAAGTGGAGGAACTCATCTCTAATTCATTCTGTGAAGCCAGTATCATCCTGATACCAAAACCCATCAAAGATAGAAATAAAAATAAAACATAAAAAAAAACCTACAAGTCAATATCCTTGATGAACATAGATACAAAAGTTTTCAACAAAATACTAGCAAACCAAATCCAGCAGGACGTCAAAAATGTAATTCACCATCATTAAATAGGTTTCATTCCTAGGATGCAAGGTTGGTTCAATATAAACAAATCTATAAATGTGATTCACCACAAAAACAGAACTAAAAACAATAACCATGATTATCTCAATAGATGCAGAGAGGCTTTTGATAAAATCCAACATCCTTTTATGTTAAAAACCCTCAGCAAACTAGGCACTGAAGGGACATACCTCAAAATAATAAGAGCCGTCTATGACAAACCCACAGCCAACATCATACTGAATGGGCAATAACTAGCAGCATTCTCCTTGAGAATGAGAATAAGGCAAAGATGTTTACTTTCACCACCCCTGTTCAACATAGCACTGGAAGTCCCAGATAGAGTAATCACTCAAGAGAAAGAAATAAAAGGCATCCAAATAGGAAAAGAAGAAGTCAAACTATCTGTGTTCTCTGGAGATGTTATTCTACACCTAGGAAACCCTAAAGGCTCTGCCAAAATGCTCCTGGAACTGATAAATGATTTCAGTGAAGTTTCAGATTACAAAGTCAATGTACAAAAATTAGTAGCATTTCTATACAACAATAGCATTCAAGTTGAGAGTCAAATCAAGAATGCAATCTCATTTACAATAACCACACACACACATAAATACTTAGGAATACATCTAAGGAAAAAAAAAGGATCTCAGCAAAGAGAACTTAAAACACTGCTGAAAGATATCACAGATAACACAAACAAATGGAAAAATATTCTGTGCTCATAGATTGGAAGAATCAATATTGTTAAAATGTCCATATTGCCCAAAACAATCTAGAGCTAGCGCTATTCCTATCAAATTACCAATGCCATCTTTGTAGAAGAAAGAACAACAATAAAAACTATTCTAACATTTGCATGGAACAAAAGAAGAGCCTGAATAGCTTAAGCAATCCTAAAGAAAAATAAAGAGCAAAGATGGACGCAGCAGATTACCGGACTTCAAAACATACTACAATGCTGAAGTAAACAAAATCATATGGTGCTAGTACAAAGATGGAAATGTACACAGTTGGAACAGAAGAGAGAACCCAGAAATAAACCCACAAACCTACAGCCATTCTTATCTTTGACAAACTTGGCACAAATAATTGGGAAAGGATTCCCTATTCAGTAAATGGTGCTCAGATAGCTGACTAGCTATATGTGGAAAAATAAAACTGTACCCCTTCTTTTCGTCATATACAAAAATTAACTCAAGAAGGGTTAAATATTTAAATGTAAGGACTCAAACTAAAAGGATCGTACAAGAAACCCTAGGAGACGTCGCTCTGGAAATCAGCATTGGGAAATAATTTGTGACTAATTCTTCAAAAGCAATGGCAACAGAAACAAAAATTGAGAAGTGGGCCCAATAAAACTAAAGAGCTCCTGCACAGCAAAAGAAACTGGTAATAAAGTAAACATACAACCTAGTAGATAGAAAAAAAAATTGATAACTATGCAGCTGAAAAAGATCTAATATCCAAAGCCTTTAAGAAACTTCAACAATCATGCAAGCAAAAAACAATCCTGTTTAAAATGGAGGCAAAATACATGAACAAACACTTCTCAAAAGAAGACATACAAGTGGCCAACAACCATGAGAAAATCTTCAATGTCACTAATTCACTAATCATCAGAGAAATATAAATTAAAATAATGCAATACCATCTCACACCACTTATAATGGCTATTATTGAAAAGTAAAACATAATAATAATAACAGATGCTGGCAAGGCTGTGGAAAAAAGGGAACACATACGCTGTTGGTGGGAATGTAAATTAGTTCAGCCTCTATGGAAAGCATTTTGGAGACTTCTCAAAGAACTTGAACAGAGCTACCATTTGATCCAGCAATTCCATGAAAGCGTGTATATCCAAAAGAAATATTCTACCAAAAAGACTGAAGTCCTTTAATGTTCATCACAGCACTATTCACAATTGCAAAAACATGGAATCAACTTAGGTGCCCACCAATGACGTACTGAATAAAGAAAATGCGGTACATACACAGCATGGAATTCTAGGCAGCCATAGAAAAAGAGCAATGGGGAACATTTCCTGCCATTATTTTACTTTACATGGTTAGAATGGTTAACTAGTATGCTAGCGGACAATCAATCAAAACAAAAAAAAGAAACAAACAAACAAAAAACCCAGGCTGTTGAAAACACAAATTCAGACTTGCTTTTCAGAGAAACTGAGATCCCCTTACTAATTTCACAGGATTTAGGATGGTTAACTGAATAGATTAATATATAAAAGACACTTAGAAAAATGCCTTGCACATAGGAAGTACTATATATTTTTTCCATTGCTATTATGGAATTTAAACATAGCATGGCATTAAAGACGATTTTTTCTGGTAAATAGTAGAAACTCCCATGCACTAACATGAAAGGTCCAACATACAATACATTAATTTGTTATTAGGACTTAAACCTATCTTTTTGAATAAATGTCTGTAAATTTTTTTTCTTCTGTTACATTCATTGGAATTGTGGTATTTGGATAATGTAAATTTATGTTAGGTAAGAATGAGGTGAAGAATGGAAAGAAATGAACACTATCGGGAAAGTTGAGTCAAAGACAGCAGTAAGGAAAATGAGGAGGGAACCAACATTTGCTGAGTGCTTAGTACGTACTGGGCAGAACATTATGAACTCATAATAAAATATTTTATGTAATCTGAAAGTTAACCCTGAATATAAGTATTGATATAAATATTGTTAGATGAGGAAATTTAAGAGTCACAAAATTCCTGAACTAAATAGCTCGTAGGTGGTAAAGCCATATTTTGAAATGAGATTATTTTTTAAATTAATAAATGTAGTATTTAATGACTTCTCCTACTTTTAGCTCAGTGCAAAAGTGATAAATACAGTGTTTATTAACAGTTCACATGTAATAACACATCTATTGTATTATTAAATTTTTACTATGTTTATAATAAAACGAGAGTGTTTATTATTACATCAAAGCTATAGTGATGAACGTCACATGTTCACTAACTCAGCTGGGGACAGTCAAGTAGGTTAGGTACTTAAAGTTAAGAGAGTTGCCACAAATTGGTTACTAGTTATAATAATAGTGATCATTTTTTATATATCTTATTTCATGTACTAATAATCTTAATAAAATACATAGTTACTGAAGTAATAATTTTAAAATTTATGAGTTTGAGGCACAATAAAGTTAAAATAGAATGTTGTGAGATCAAATCTCTACTCAGATCTCCCTGGCTATAAATCCTTTCTAATTTAAATGGTATTATATAATTCAAGTAAAAGGATAAAATTAATATATGATTTGAAAGTTCATTTCGTAAGTATGTAATAAATATGATGAAAGTTTGCTTAGAATAAAAGCATACTTAGGGTTATAGGCAAATGTCAGTTAGCCTAAAATTATTTAGGTATGGTCTGGGCGTGGTGGCTCACACCTGTAATCCCAGCACTTTGGGAAGCCGATGGGTGCTGATCACGAGATTAGGAGATGGAGACCATCTTGGCTAACACGGGGAAACCCTGTCTCTACTGAAAATGCAAAAAATATTAGCAGGGAGTGGTGGCACACGCCTGTGGTCCCAGCTACTCCGGAGACTGAGGCAGGAGAATCGCTTGAGCCCAGGAGGCGGAGGTTGCAGTGAGCCGAGGTCGTGCCACTGCATTCCAGCCTGAGCGACAGAGCGATATACAGAAGTATATTTATTGATAAATGAATCTATGGATACAGACATACATTTATTGTTAATAGATGTAGATATAAACTAAAACAGAAAATAGTTCTTATATTACATTTTTACTTGAGTTTATTTCAACAATATTCACGAGTTCATATAGAAGGATAATGAAATATGTGTGTAACGCACTTTAAATAGTCCTGGAGATTTTTATGGTTCAGGACAGGCCAGCTGGAATAATAAAAATCTCAGTACCTTAATGCAGTAAACATGTATATGTTATACTAGGTTTGTACTATTTATTAGCAGACTTTCTTCTACGCAATCATTGAATTCTTAGTTGTTCTGAGGCTGCCATTGCCTAGGACCTTGGAGCTTCCTTACCGGCACTCCACATCTAGCCAGGCAGAGAAATGAGGGAATAGTGAATGTGAAGTATTGTATATCCAATTGTATAGGTTAGGCTGAAAGTTTTCCGTTCTTACTTTTGCCCACATTCCCATGGCCAGAATTCAGTCACATGGCCATACCTAACTACAAGAGGTGTTAGGTGATCCCATGAAGAACACAGGAGGAGTTTGTTAAACCATTAGCCAAAATAAATTATAACATTTAAATAAGAAAAAAATTAAATAATTAAGAACAAACATTAAACAAATAAAAATTTAAAACAGGGCCAAAAAAAGTAATTTATTTGATACTGTTATTCTTACCTTGTCCATATCTCAGACAGAGGGCTCCACAAACATAAGATTACTGAAACTAGAGTCACACGCTATGAGCTTTAGATACAGGACGAAATATGAGAAAACGCGTGGGGGAGCTAAAGTGCCTAATTTGCAAAACATTTATCTGATAAGGGATTAATATCCAAAATATATAAGGCACCAGCTCAATAGCAAGAGAGCAAATAACCTGATTCAAAAATAAGCAAAAGATCTGAATAGATATTTCTCAGAAGAAGACATAAACATGGCCAATAGTTTTACGAAGAAATGCTCAACATTAATCATCAGGAAAGTATATGTTACAACCACGAGATATCACCTCACAGGAGTTAGAATAGCTATTATCAAAAAATATATAAATATTAGTGCGGATATACAGAAAAGACAACCTTTGTACACTGTTGGGGAAAATGTAAAATAGTAGAGCTATTATTTAAAAAAAAACAGTATGGATGTTTCTCAAAAAATTAAAAATAGAACTACCACATAATCCAGCAATCTCACTACTGGATATATATCTTAAGGGATATATGTATATACCTATATCTGATATATCTATATCAGAAATTGAAATCTGTATGTTGAAGAGGTATCTGCACTCCCATGTTCGTTGCAGCATTACCCATAACAGCCAAGATATGGAATCAACTTAAGTATCTGTTGATGAATGGGGTGTGTGTGTGTGTGTGTGTACACACGCTGTATTTTCTTTATTCATCCACCAGCCACTTGATTCCATTCACACATACATAAAATATGTGCCTTGAAGAAAAAGAAACTTTTCAGTTGGATTGGTCAGTCTGGAATATTATTCAGTCTTAAAGAAAGGGAATCCTGGCATTTGCAACAACATGGATAAAACTGTAGTACATTATGGTAAGTGAAACAAACCAGCCATAGACTGACAGATATTGCATGATCTCACTTATATGTGGAATCTAATATATGGAACTTACAGAATGCTAAAATGGGAAGATATTGCCCAAAAAGTACAGTTTTAACTAAATAGAACAACTAAGTTGTACTTAGTCACTTAGTATGGTGGACTATAGTCAACAGTAACGTATTGTGTATTTGAAAATTGCTATAGGAATATATCTTAAATGCTCTCACTGCAAAAAATAGTGTTTCAGATAATAAATATATTAATTAACTTGATTTAACCATTTCACAATGTTTACTTATATCAAACATAATGTTGTTGTCTTTGTTTGTGTGTTCCTATAAAGGAATACCCGAGGCTGGGTAATTGTAAAGAAAATAGGTTGATTTGGGTCATGATTCTGCAGGTTGTACAAGAATCATGGCACCAGCATCAGCATCTGGTTAGGGCCTCAGGCTGCTTCCACTTACAGCAGTAGACAAAGGGAATTTGGCATGTGCAGATATCATGTGGACCAAGAGGTGGCAAGAGAGTCAGGGGCAGGTGCCAGGTTGTTTTTCTTTTTGAGACGGAGCCTCGCTCAACCACCCAGGCTGGAGTGCAGTGGCGCGATATCTGCTCACTGCAACCACCATCTCCCGGGTTCAAGCGATTCTCCTGTCTCAGCCTCCTGAGTATCTGGGATTACAGGCACCCGCCATCATGCCCGTCTAATTTTTGTATTTTAGTAGAGATGGGGTTTTACCATCTTGGCCAGGTTGGTCTTGAACTCCTGACCTTAAGTGATCCACCCTCCTCGGCCTCCCAAAGTGTTAGGATTACAGCCATGAGCCACCGCGCCTGGCCCAGGTTCTTTTTAACAGGCATCTCTCTCAGGAGCTAATAGAGTGAGAACTCACTCACTACCCTCAGAATGGCACCCAAGCCACTCATGAGGGATCTTCCTCCATGACCCAAATACCTCTCACTGGACCCCACCTCCAATAACGAGGATCAGATTTCAACTTGCTGTTGGAGGGACCAATATCCACACTATAACAGTTGTACTCGATGAATGTATGCAATTTTCTTTTATAAATTATATTGTAACCAAACATACTGGGATAAAAAATGCATTTTCAAAAGTTAGGTGGGAAACATAATTGGAAAGATAATTTAAGTGTAGCTTAAATTCTATACTTTCTCATGCAGCAATTGAAAGTTGTTGAATAATTATTTTAGATGAGAGTAAATAGTCGCATGTATAAGTTGTGAAGATAATTTTCATTTCGGCGGGCAAATAATATAAACAAATATTCTCAAGAAAGGATAATTGATGAGAAATGTACCCTATAAGTTTAATTCAGAAATCTAAGAGCCTGAACTTCAGTGGCATTGTGAAGACGAAAAAGACAAACAAATTGGAGATATTTCAGAGATAGAATAGAGATGTGAAAAATTTATTGAATAAATCAAAGAAGAGTTATAATCTAGAATGTAAATTTTGAAAGTAAAGATGCCTTCACTTAGATGAAGTCATCTATGAAATGTTCCTGGGTCTAACTAAAGTTATTTCCCAAGTGTCAGGAAAATAAGTCAAAATAACTACAAATAGGACAGGTTATAAGCGCAAATGAATTAAAGGAAAGAGTGACATGACTGCTAATGGCTCCCATTAAGTCCTTGCTATTGGTGTAGTTGATAAAGTTATAGAAAAAAATACATTTGACCATGCTTTTATTTAATGAAATCATACTAAGCTTTGCACCATGTTATTAATTCTTGATATTAAGTAGATGAAATATGTCTCTTGAAATCTATGTCAGCTTTAAATCTTGCAGATGCATTGATATATAACTATACAGAATTAAATAGATGTCACCTAGAGAGGACTTGAGGTGTTTGTGACATGGAAACATCTTACATAGGAGAAAAATTATTGTTGAAACTTTTTCAGTTGGTTTGGTAAGTCTGGCAATTTGTATGAAAATACAAGTTTCATTGTATACATATTATTTATTTTTATAATATTTACTTCAGAACACTTAAAATTGAATAATTTATAATAATCATAAGCATTAATTTATAACAACTTATTAAACATGACTTCAATGTATAATTGAAGATCTGGAGCAAGAGATAATTTCATCTGATACAATAGAGCCCGTGAAAAGAAATATATGCTCTTCCTAACAGAGATTTTTATTTCAAATAACAGGATTTTTATATCTTTCAAATATTCCTCTTTAATTCAATAGGACACTTCTACCCAAACAACAGGCTCTCCTATGACTTCTAACAGTTAGTATTGCTTGTTTATTTTATTATATTTTGCTGACAATGTAATGCATAGTTTCAATGATTCTATACCTTCTTAAACAATGTCCTGTGTAATCTGTATATAGACCAAGGCTGTGCATAAGGGATCTTTCTAGGAAAGCATAGCTCATTCTCATTCACATTTTATAACAAGTTCACATGATTTAGCAAACAACAGGAAAAGCTATGTTTTAAAAATATTTTCTATTTGTGTTTTGAAATCTTTAGAAAATAACTTAGGCATCATAAGGAAATTATTTGGTCTTCTAAAATTTTAATTTAAAAATTAAATATCGTTCGATTTTTAAACAATGTTTCTGAAGAGAAAAAAGATTCTGCATTTATCTGGAAGATAGCTTTTACCCAGTTTAATGAGTTTCAACTATGAGATGATTAAAATGAGTTATATGCATCTCACTTATTGAGTTTATAAAGAAATGATGATAGGCTATTAAGTATAATGATCATTAAAGCAAGTTCAAAATATAATGTTGCTTTTTTAACATAAGTGCTATTTTGCCATATAGTAATTTGTGATAACACTGTGAATCTTTGATGTCATAATTGGATCATCATTTTTATGATTATATTACTAATATTTGAGGAGCTTTATCTCTATATATTGTATCTAGTAATTAAAAGCTTAATAATGATGTTTAAAAGAATAAAGTGGAAAAGGAAAAAGTTGAAAGTTCTAAAAACATGGCATTGATATCTGATTCTCAATTAGAAATATAATAAAGAATTCATTCTGGCTAATACTATTGAATTTATCTTTCCTGGTGCTGAATAAGTATGAATGAAATTTTTAAATTTTTAAAATAACCTCTCATGGTTTCAATAAAAGTAATGAAATTCACTGTAATAGAAAGAGACAAATCTTGAGTGAGATGTTTGAATGGATATTTTCTATAAGATTGTTGAATGTTTCCAGGTTGAGTTCAAAGAAAAAGTTAATTACTTCCTTTATAGTAATTATTTTTCTGAGGAAGAAAATATTCTTTTCAGGCATCCACAAAGCAAGCATTCATATATATTAATTACCAGAATGAAGGATTAATACAAAACAATTTCTTTGTTTTTCACTATGAGCATAAATGTAGTTACCAGAAAGTAGATTTAGGGTCCTAGTAGCCTTCTAGTGCAACCTCCTTCATTTTACAGGGGGGAAGAATATGTTTCAGAAATGAAGATTCACATTTAAAAGCCATAGAGTGAGTATACTTTCCATTGATTTCCCTGAAATTGCAGAGCAAAGAATGAAGAAAACACCAAGAGCTCATTACATTATGTAACTTTATTAATCCATGTGAAGTAGCTGATATAGTATGAAGTTTGCAAGCATTCATTTTATGTCAGAAATAGAGAACCCTCATATTTTTTGTTTGTCTTTTTCTTTTAGCATAATATTGATTCTATTTGTGTTATTTGCCTATCAAGCAAAGTTTGGTCAGCTGTTTGACTAGAGTTAATATTACTATTCTTTTGTATATGAAGTTTTCTGTATAAAGTATCCTTATATGATGACTGTATCAGCTTTCTGTAGAGAAAGAGAACCAACTGAGAGGGAGGAGAGGACAGAAAGAGGGAGAGAGAGAGAGAGAGTGAGGGAGAGAGAAATTGAGATTGATTGATTTTCAGAAATTGGCTCACAAAATTGTGTATGCTGGCAACTCAAAAATTGGTGAGGCAGAAAACAGGCTGGAAATTCAGACAGAATTTCTATCTTACATGCTTGAGACACTCAAGACTTTTGCCCTGAAGAGCTTAAACTGATTGAATGAGGCCTAACCACATTATGGAGGATAATCTGCTTTGCATAAAGTCAAATAACTGTAAATGTTAATTACATTTACAAAATACCTTTACATCAATATTTAGACTAATGTCTAACCAAAAACCTAAGCAACATTGTCAAGCCAAATTGACATATAAAATTAATCATCACAATCACTAGAGGACATAAGTGAAATATTTATAATGTTAGGCAACACTGGACGCTCAGGGAAACTAAGAGTTAGTAAAAACTGAATGTTTATTAGGGCTCGTAACACTTTTGAATGACTAGTTAAAGTTATTTTTCAGCAATAGAAGAAGCTGAATTTCAGCAAGTCTTTTATATTTGTAATTAAAATTTAATAAAATAAACCTTGTAAAGCAATTAGTTTCATTCTAGACATGTAATACATACTCAATTAATGATAGCTATAATTAAAATGAAGTTTTTGCATTCAGTCTACTGCATTCATAGTGCTATTTTTTCCATTTTATAGATAAGAGAAATGATATTCATAAAGCATAAGCAACTTGCAGAAAATCATAGAATAGAAGAGCTTCTTGTATTTAGATCAGAAAATAGAGGAAATATTTTACAAGTAGACTTTAGGATGTCTATGAACTGGAAAAATATTGCTACATGATAGAAAATAGTCTGAGACAGAATCAGTGTTAGGTGATACTGAAGCCAGGAAACAAAATGGCAATAGTCTTAAAACAATATATTGAATGGGCTTTTATGAATACAATGCAAAAAGGCAGCATTTAAATATATTAAAATAATTTATAAGATTTTTTTCTTCACTTCTGAACAGCATATGTTTTTAAAAACTTGGCAAAAAAAATAAAAGCATGCATGAGAAATGAAATTATCAGTACTCTCATCCAACAGAGATTGCCACTATTAGTTTTTACACATAGACACATTGTGTTTGCTTTTTCTGTATACTAAACAATGTATTATAAACATTACAAGAAATCAATTTCTTTGGTTTTCTGACCACAGTCTAATAAGCATAATAATTATGAATATTTTTTAAGTCACAGAAATAGTAATCACACAACAAAAGAATTACATTCATTTTATTTTTAACAATTCAGTGGGTTTAAGTGGTAGCTCACTCTTATTTAATCTAATTTTGTACTACTTAGATTATTAGAAAGGCTGAACAGTTTTCTTCTTTATTGGCCATTTATATTCCTTATCTTGTGGATAGCCTGTCCAGATGCTTTAGTCCCAACAAAACTCAAATAATTATCAGTCACACTTTCAATTTCCTAGGAAATAAATATAAGTACAACTATATATTTGAGTAAACAATTTTAAATGGCCTGCATTTTCCTATTATAAAAGAGACTGATTTTCACTGTAGAAAATTAAAAGAACATAAAAAAGGGTGAAAAAGAATTTTTAAAAAGACACAATCACCATCTATTGTTGTACCATTCTGATAAACTGAATAATAATAGGTAATATGTTGTCTTTTAATGGTGTTTTTCACATATATATATGATTGCATATTTCTGCAAATAGATGATACATAAATCAATCATCTTTCACACACATCCTTGATACAAATTCTTCAAAGCAAAATCATATCTTAAAATTGTAAGTCATGTTACTTTTTTACTTAAACTTCTCCAAACATTAGGCAAGATTTCCACATATGGGTATACCACATTTTATGTATCCATTCACCTGTTAATGGAGAGTTGGTCCTGCCTTTTGAAGTCTGTAATTTTGAAGTATATAATTTCATATTTTGAAATTTCTTCTAAGAAAATAATTCGATATGGATACAAAGTTTTATAAGTAAATGCACTGAAGAAACTTTTAACAGTTACTTATTGCCTATTATGTGCCAAACATTATGTTAGCCATTGGATTAAAACAGTTAATGGCATTGACAAAATTTCTGACTAACTCCACTGTGATGAAACTCTAATGAGAATGATAATCAATAGCAAAAGAACATGTAAATATATACATATGCATATGCATATTGTCATATCAAGTATTGTTTAGCATGACATATTTACATGTAATAAAGTATATAATTATAAAAATAAAATGAATTAATAGCATTGATCAATCTCAAGATTATTATGCTGAGTAAAATAAGCCAGACACCAAATTAAATATTCTGTATGGTACCATTTTAGTAAAATTATACAAAGCCACCTTAATCTATAGAGATAAGAAACAAATCTGAAGTTGCCTTTACCCAAAGGCAAAAGAACAAATGGATATTTTAAAATTTAAAAAATTATTGTTTATTTTTTATTTTTTTCTTTTGGTTATTATGAGAATGAAAATATTTTGTTTGTACATAATTCATAAATTATCTTTGCCATTCTTTGTCTTTTTTTCCACAGGAGGGTTTTTTAATTGATTTGGAGAGATTTTCAGGTTAAAAATACATATTTCATATATTTATTAAAGATTTTAATAAATTATCTTTTACTTTTTATGTTTAAAATCTTACTGAAATAAAGAAGTTTGGTTTTTTTTGTTTTGTTTTGTTTTGTTTTCTTGAGACAGATTCTCGCTCTGTTGCCAGGCTGGGGTGCAGTGGCACCACCTCGGCTCACTGCAACCTCCAACTCCCTGGTTCAAGCTATTCTCCTGTCTCAGCCTCCCGAGTAGCTAGGATTACAGGCGCCCGCCACCATGCCCAGCTAATTTTTGTATTTTTCATACAGACAGGGTTTCACCATGTTGGCCAGGATGGTCTCGATCTCCTGACATCGTGATCTGCCCGCCTTAGCCTCCCAAAGTGCTGGGATTACAGCGTGAGCCACCAGGCCTGGCCAAAATAAGGAAGTTTTATAGTCATAAAGTATCCATTCCATTAAGCTCAACTCAATCCAACCCTATTTAATTTTTTCATTCTTAGAGAATATTTATTACTTACCTATGTTGGAGACTGAATGAAAATATTATCCTTATTGCAAAAATCTTAGTTTCCAAAGAAAAGAGCGTGGATTATAATTATAAGGTGTGTTCCGTTTTGGTTGATTTTTTTTTTTTTGAAATCCAAACAAGATTCTTTATTATGTTCAAAAAGGGGTTAAAAATGTAAGCAAAGGTTATGGTATATTTCAAGCATTCAAATTAATCACAGTTGTTGTCAACCCATTATAATTTTTAAAATAAGCATTTTTATTATTGCACCTTTTGTTAAAATAACAGTTTTAGCTCTCCTTTTGTTCTGCTTAGGGGTTATTACATTGATCTTTAAAATCTCACTTAGACTTTTATAGAAAGTGAAAGGTATATCACTGGATCCTACTGAAGCCAGTAACTCCAGAGACAAGAATTCCATTTTGAGTTATTTTAGAAATGTCAGAGTGTACACAGAATGGTGAGTAGTTGTATTGCCTTTGGAATCCTCACTTGCCTAAGAATGAGGAAATTTGTAAGTAAATGTACAATCATCTCTCTGTAAATTACCAGTGCTCCACCAGCTGAGTGACCAGGCAGAATCAATTTGTAGTTGAGAGATTGTTCTTGGTTTCACAGCAAATAAAAATGGCAATGTTTGAACACATTTGCTAAATTATAAAGAGGACATCTTATAATTTCAATCTTCACTTGTCCATCAAAGGCAACCATATATTCTAATTTTAAAATTTATCATCTTTTTTATAATGCTAACATAGAACAAATGAATTACAAATTTATAATGCTAACATAGAACAAATGAATTACATCTTTAGGATGCTAAGGCAAAGACATGAAGAATGAGATTAAACTTGGCTAGATGTCAAAGTAGACACCATTACATTGAGTGCTTGATGCAAAAATACTGTGAGTACAATAATCAATAAGGACACAGTCTAAAATAATTAATGTGAATTAGTTTTGCCTTCTATATTAACTCTCATTATTTTAATTTTTGACAGTTTAAAAAATGTCCACACTTTTCCATGTTCATAAATCACAATAGCATTTGCTGTTAAATTATTGCAGATAGATAACCCTCTATATGAAAAAAGACTTTTATTCAAACCTGAATGTATGTTTTCTTGTGGAACATGTTAATTCTATAACTTAAAACCCTTGTAATAGTCCACCAGTTTTAGCTTTTACTCTTTGAAGTGCTAATAAGCACTTCCCGAAACACACACACACACACACACACACACACACACACAGGCTGCACATTGTGCATGTACATATGAACATGGAAAATGTTTCCATCTATTAAAGAAATATGAGTTAACTTGGAGACAGAGTCAGATATACAATCATTATCAATCAAGTTATTTTCCTATGCATACTTTGGTGAAGACTGAGAGCTTTAGGCTGACAAACAGATGAGGTAAAATTGTGATTCTTTAGAAAACATTGGTATAAATAGCTGATATAAAAGGACACAAGAGTGGGGAAATTCTAGTTCTATTAAATGAAAGACATACTTTAAAAGGTCATATATTCATTAATTCATTCATTATATGTATTTTTAAAATCCTGTTTGTCAGTCTTGTTATCATACTTCTGTACTTTGCAGTATGGTAGCCACTAGCCCCATGCAGCAATTAAGCACTTGCAACAATACAATGGGATTGTATTTACCTTAAGTAATTTTATGTAAAATTAAAACTAATATTCTATTCAGTTATTAGAAAGCATATATTTGGAACACCTTGACTATATGAATCCATTTTTTCAACTAAACTTTATAAAATCTAAAGGCAGATCAATTATATCTCTATGAAAATTTAACATCTTAATTAAGATGTGCTTTATGTATAAAGAACACATCAACTTTCAAAAACTAAGTACAAAAATAACGTAAAACTTCTCAATCATGATTCTTATATTGATTAAATGTTAGAGTAATAACTTGGATTTACTGGTTTAAAAACACATATTCTCAACATTAATTTTACTTTTTTCGTTTTTACATTTTTAATGTGGGTATTAAATATTCTAAAAGAATAAGTATTAAAAGAGTTAATGTTGGTAAAGAACTTAACAGTTTGCATCACATAGTTATTAATATTCATGAATTACACTAGGATCCGTCTCCTTTTAAAGGTAAAGAGGTATTTTCTTTTATAACTTGAAGGTTAACAGTAAAAAACCTGCCTAAAAGTGTTACCTTATTCTAGCATAACCTGGAGCCTAGATTTGTTTTTCATGAAGACTTTAAATAAGAGCAAGAATATTTTATTAAAATGCATATCTGGAACTAATGTCTCAAGTGTTTTCAAACCCAGCTAAGAGAGTGGCACTAACTGCATTTTCTGTAGTGTCTTAATTCTTACAACAGCTCAGTGAGTTGGGTGGCATTACTTAACTCTAATACACAGAAAAATCAATTAACATGCCAAAAGACACAGGTGCAGTCATTCAACAAATGTCTTTTTGGTATTCCCTTTGTCCTTGGACTGCTTAAGGCATATGAATATCACCAATGAACAAACTCAATGAAGAATCCTGCCCATTTGGAGTTTATTTTATTTTATTTTTCTAGATAGTGATTAAGAATTTAAAGCTAAATGTGTCTTATTAAACTTCTCTGTCTTCCTTAAAAGATACTACTCACATTAGTTTGGTGATTGAGACTAGTAATTTAATACCTCAGCTCTTTATGGACTTTATTTCTAAAAAGATTAATAACAAAATTAATTTTTATACAAATACAACCATGCAGACTTTGGGGTAAAATATCACATGTAAACACCTCTTATTTACTATATATCTAATATATTTACTTTTTAAAATGTTCATGTTACTTTAAAGCTATTCATCTTATGAAATAGCATAGTTTATGACACACCGACATTCAGCTTGTCTGAATTTTATATTTTAGTACTAAGAGTATTATCTGATATTATAAAATTTGTACGATAAGTTTATTTAGGTTTGCTTTTATTTTATGGTTTTGACCTTATTTTTGCTTATCATTTTCCCCAGTGGTACCTGCTCAAGACTAAAAGTTCATGAGGGCTTTGGATTAAAAGCAAATAATGTTATCCTAAATAACATTTGACAGTGGTGTGGGATATCAGAATTAGACTGCCATTAACTTCACGTAAATAAAGCTGCAAAGTCATATTCATTCAGTCTAAAACTTTTGAAGTAGAAATGCAACAAATTAATTTAAAATATCATTTTGATTCATTACATTGTTTTAAAAGTTGTAAATTGTAAATATTACAAAGGTTTACATGTATTCCAGTATATAAGGATAGTCACATCACAACAGATGTACTTGTAAGAACACTTTCATAATATAAATCCCCAGGTTTTTAAGCATGAAGTATGAAAATACAGAAGGAAACCACATATATTTTACCTATTTGAGATAATTTCAAATGGAGCACAAATTTTAGTGGCCTTAATTACTGAAATTTTTATCATAAATTGCAGAGATTTTTGTTTTTATTTGGGAAGTCAAAGTGTTTTAATTGGTTTGCTTTCACATATAATCTAAGAAAATTCTCTGGATTTCTATTACATCAGGTATCAAACAAAGGAATGTTGATATCTTCAAGGGAGAAGTATTATTTTTTATATCTGCTTCATTTTTCTAACCATATATTTGTCCTATTGAAAGACATGCAGATTCAAATATATAAAATATAATTTGTCTCCTGTAGCCCTTATTTTAGAAGTAAAAACCTTAAGAAAGTCATGAACAAAATATTCTTAGGGAATTTTAAATTGATGGTACTTAGAGTAAAAGTTGAATAAAATGATTGTATTATTCAAAGGAACATCATGATTTTTAATTGAGGAGCTACTAGTAGGCTTAAAATTATGTACAAAATGACTTCTTATGAAGCTAGAAAATAAAAAGTAATAATCGTCTTTGAATCTCGCAAGTCAACTTATCATTTAAAAAACAGATAATTAAAAAGCTTGCCAACAAAACTTGAACATGGGATGCATGTTTTTAAGTTAATAAATGAAATTTGGCCTACATATTAATTAGATGTAATGGTCAGAATCCAGCTATTCTAATGCTATAGAAAACAAACTTGGGAACAAGGGACTCACAATACCTTCCACAAATGACATTATACAAGAAATAATTCAGCAGCTGAAGATATATTGTTTTGTCTATTAATGGAGGTCTCTGATTGATTTAGCCTAATCTTATTTGGCCAAAAGAAAAAAAAAATGAGCAATCTATAGTTGAAAATGAAAGTAATCTGGCTACAGAGAAATCTTATCACTTCAGGCAGTGACTTGTGGTAATTTATTAAATATGAAGAAATAAGTAGAAAAGAGTTGCTTTAAGGGCTTTGATATTTTATTGAAATTGATGTTTTTTCTTAAGAAACAAATGGGTAATAGCAGTGAGCCATTAGAAATTGCGACATGTTGTTTTCAGTTTTGACTTCCATAAAGATTTATTTTGCATACAATTATGCCCTGATGTCACAAAATGCTATTAATGGATATGAAAATGTTGTCATCAAAACCTCAACAAACACAATGTGCCCTCGAACTTCATTTTATATCTTGCTGTGAGTTGTACACTGCGTGTTAATGCGATTCATTACATGTACTAAATCTTAGTATATCAGCTAACATGGGATATACAAAATATTAAAAGGCTAAAAACAAAAAGAAGAGGGAAACTTTTCATATACAGAAGAGAAATTTCTTCTGTTCTGAAAAAATCAGAAACTACTGCCTACAACATCCTGATGGTTGTATTATAAATGAAAGCTTCTTTTGTTAGATAAAAGCTATAAAATCAGTATCCACTTCTGATAAATGCATACCGCATGGTGAAAACTGGGCATGATAGTAGGGTGTTCATACAATTTCACCAACCACTGAATTAATTGATTAATTTATAAGAAAATAAATTAATTCTCACTAACCACTGAATCAATTTATTAATTAACTTTTTTAAAAAATCTGTCCTATGCCAAAGACAAGACACAACAGGAGGTAGTTATTTCAAGTGATCAGTTTAGTATTCATCTGTGGTCAGAGTTCCCTGATGTGATGTTCAATTGTCTTTCTCTATATAAAAAGAAATGTCCAATAAAGCACAATGAGTAAGAGGGAGATGTTGCAGGAGTTCAGAATTACTCCCAGTCCAAATATGAAAATCATTAAACAAACCATGGAATGAGACTGCATTTGTCTCTAGTAAAAGTTCTAATAAATTAAAAACAAAACATTGTATTTCTGAATATTTGAGTGAGAATGGGAAAGAAAAAAAAGAGAAGAAAACTTATTTAAAGAATTCAATAGAAAATTCTAAGCAAAGAAAGATATGTTTATTAGAATTCAAAAGTGAACTCACAGGTAGTTTTATTTATAGAGCTACATTATCATGTAAGAACATCAAGGAGTCATCAATGTTGTGATCATTTCTAGATGAGAAAACAAAAGCTGGGAGGTTAAATGACTTGTGGGAGCTGACTGTCCATTGGTGAAGGCGCAAGGATGGAAGTATAGGTCTTGTAACCAAGATATTGTCTCATTAAATAGTAGAATGTTAACGAGAATGATGCAATAAAAAGATCTTTCCTCTTTTCATAGTATCATCCCTGTTAACATGCTGGTACTTAATGGTGCTCTAGATGTCTAAATAATTTGAGTTTCAATTGCCTTGTAAGAGAACTGGGAATGTGATTTGGACTTTAGACTCCTAAGTTTTGCTTAGTAAAGTAGTATACACCATATTGTCACAGTGTTTGCACCATTTATCTCATTTTTCTTATTATTTCAGCAATGAGGCCGTATATATAAAGCCATATAACATACTTCATTCAGGCTGTTTCTAAAGCAAGCAAAAAAATTAATAAGTAAACACATTAATTATCAGGTTTTTACTGCTATTTGGCCTGAAGAAAATATCGTATTATATTGCTTTCTTTTCCCTCATGAATTAAAGGTTTTTGTAAAATAGTATGAGTAGTAAAAACATTGTTGATCTATTTATAGTCAATGTATATTTTACCTTAGCATTAATAAAGGTTATAAAAAAGATAACCTTGGATGAGGTAAAGCATTATTTATTATTCTAGATCCATTTTAAATCTTTGTAGTTTAAAAACAAAAAATCAAGTAATAGTTTACATCAGTACTAAAAGAAAGGTCTGCAATTTTTTTAATTAAAATTATTAGAAAACAAATGCATCCACGTTTCAACTGATTTTTTTTTAGTTTCAGTTCTTTGTGTTAGTAAAAAAATAGTGGATTAAAACAACGAAGGAACGAAAAAGCGATTCTGATTTAGAGTTACTACAGTATGCAGTTGGTGATGCTTTGCACACAATTTAAAAATTGGTCAGAAATTATGCAGCTAAGAGATAAAATGGAGTTGATAAAACTTATAGACCATGCTGTCTTTCATTCTCTCTCATTTGCAAGTTGAATACCTGGGTCATTTAACCTCCAAGCTTTTGTTTCATATATATATATGTGAATGTATATATAATATTCATATATATTCCTATATTATATATATAATTATATATATTATATATATAAAATCTCCCATAAAGCAGACAATTCTAAAAAAAAGTCAAGTAAAAGTTAAAAATTGACCATAAAAAAAGTCTTTAAAGTTTCTAGCATCACCTTCTAAATTCCAACATTAAAATATTTTCTTCTAAGTAATAATTTTTTATGCCTGAAAAACTTATAGAAAGCATCTAGATGGTTGATGTCCAGAACCTTGAGCTGTTGAGAATTATGTTCTCTATCATGCCATATTTGGTCTGCAATCTTAGAAGTTATTTTCCTTTGTTTATTTACCTCTTCTTGTTGACATATTTATGTACTTGCCCTTTAATTTATGGAATATCTCATTTCATCTTGCACTTACATATATCCATCCTACTTTTTGATAGAAAAAGACAAATGACTTTTATGATAATGATAATTAGTAAGTCCAGGATAAAGACATTGGTTAAAGAAGCAATGTAATTCTATGAAAATATGTGGTTATTTCATCTGGTGCTAACAAAAAGTGACTCATCAATAAAAACAGGAACACTTAGAGATGTCTTTTCATTTTTATCAACTTTTATTGACATCTTCTTGTTAATATCCACTAAATACAGGATCCATTAAACATAGAATACATTTCTTTTTACTTTTTACAATTACTATTCCTGACAACAATATCATTTAGCATCTAGGAATAAACATTAGTTGTAAATGCCAAATGCAAGACGGATTTTGACTGCCCATCTCCTGTTACTGTCTCTTTTGTCACTTCTAAATCAGGATCTACTTGTCAATTTGGATTTAACATGCATTATAATTCACGTTAGCATTTGGGATGCTCCTCGAAGCACACAGTTATTTCCCTTCACTCGCTTTTGTGTTTTTACAGCTAAGATGTTTACTAATTTGGGGGCACTTTGGGCCAAATATGAGGTGTTATAGATTTTCCTTTTACTTCCATTGAACAAAATCACTTTATTTGAATTAAATATTTAAAATATATTTTTGAGAATAAAAAGTATCACTTCTATGTACAGTGAACACTTGTATATACAGTAAAATTACTTTATTCAACTTAAATATTTAAAATATAGTTTTGAGAATAAAACTTAGCACTTGTATACACAGTGAACAGCCTTGTAAACTTAAATGGAAGACAAAGCAAGGACAAAATGCTCTGGTAAATATTAAATAAGTGTCATTGCATTCATTCCTTTTAAAAAAAGTGATATTTGAATGCCAACTCTACACTACTGAAAATATAGTGTCATAAGTACTGATTCTGACCAGAAAGAGCTCATTGTGTCATGGAGGCAAACATAATGACATTACAACACTGAAAGGTACATTCAATTTTGGAGCTACTGTCTGTAGTGGGTAATGAAAAATTCAAAAAAGGAATCCCTAATTTAATTTGAAAAGGTTAGGAAAAATTTCACAGAGAACATGACATCTGAACCTTTGAAAGAAATGTATGAGTTTGAGCAGAATACGCTACACTGAACGTTAGAAATTCCAAGTAGAAATCAATAGTCATTGCCAAGCTTAGAGGGTACCGTGTGTTTATGAAAGTAAACAACTTCATTCAACTTGATTGTCACCTCTGGGGTGGCTACTCTGCTCAATGTTTCCTCTGAGTAGCCTATTGCCGCCTTTCATGTGGTGCAGTTTGATTTCTGCCTTGTGATTTTCTAAAGAACATGTTTGTTGAAGATGCAGATTAAAGTAACCGAGTTAAACATTATAAATTCATAAAATACTTATTTAGAATTGCACAACAGAGAGAAAGAAAGAAAATAATCTCTTTTTAAACCAGAGACATCATTGGATAAAATGAAGCTAGTCACTGATATAAATTAAGAATATAATAGAAGGTAATATTCTTAATGTTATGAGAATAAGTAAATTAGAATTTTTATGACTATAACAAATGACAAAATGTTATACTTGCTATTCCTTCTGAATCCTATTATGCGTTGGTATTTCCTCTTCTGCATAGATTTTCTATCTTTTCAAATATTATCTCCACTTTTTTCTTATAAAATTCTTTTGTTGTGAGAGAGTAGAATAATCTGCCAATCAATGCATTGATATTGAAAAGGTCAAAAATTTTTCCATGAAAATGTTCAGTCATTGAGTTCTTTGTTCCTCAGATTCTTTTGAGCAACAATTAATTCAATTAAACCAACTCTAAAGCTATGGATTGTCATGATCATAACCTTTCAAAATGTCTGTATGTTGTTCCTTAAATTCACCTTAGTTAGCATATTTTAATAGTATCACACAATGGAATAGGATTAAGGAGTCTTGCGGTTAAAAAAGCATGCTATGCCCCTGCCAGTTACATAATAAAGGGAATGAGAAGGATGGTATTTCAAGACAGACAGAAATCAACATACTGAATAACACACAAACAGATCCAGAATGGTGGAGATAAATATACAAAGTGACAAATCAACCTAAAACATTTATCATGTTGGCATCGTTATTCACCTTTATTTCTTCAGATACATTTATAAGGAAAGGAATGTTATTGAGTAAGTAAAATAATCTTGCATTTTAATGAACTCAAGCAGGAAGAAAAACTAGTATCAATATTTTTAACTTCAAAACGGGTATATTTTCATTAGCGAATTATCTGGCACTTTCATTTGTTTCTACTAGTGGAAGATCATTTTTATCAGGGATCTATTATGTTAATTACATGTAGTGCTGGATTATCCTGAAATAAGTAGAGTTCCATAAGAAGATTGAAATGCTGTGAATACAATATTAGTTTGAAAACTTCTCTGAAGCCTATAGTACCTTATTTTCAATATAGTTTGAACAACAAATTTTTGAATAGAAATTTTGTTTCTGAACTTTCATGGTTATAAAACTTTATAATCACAATTTCTAACTTAATGTAAGTTTTATAAATCACATATGTGACAATTCAATGATACAGAAATTTTGGAAAATTGAAAGAAATCTCTTATTCATAATTTTTTCAGTAAAATCCAAAATTTTGTAGTTCTATGCAGTTCTTCCCCAAATTTTACATATGGTTGTGTACATTTTGATATTTTAAATTAGACCTAGTAGGTGCGTTATGTTTATTTAATCATACCCAAGATTTGATTTTTTTACTGTAATAATTCAGCAATTAACATTCTTGGAGTTTTTTTCCCCATGTTTTGAAGTATTTACTTAGAATTTGTTCTCAGAAGAAAGATTTGATGGGAACTGCACCCCAATATTGAATGGGATGCAGTTACTTGCTATTTTCCTTTCAATCAGGTTGCAATATTTTGATATATCTGTGATGACATTTGATTTATTTTACATGTGCATATGTGTATACGTATATTTTTATTTATGTCTTATATATAATACTATATATACAATATTTAGTATTTTATAATAATAAATATATATTAACATATAAATTATATTATTTTATAATAAACATATAATAAATATGTAGACACATATTTTATTTATGTGTATATGTATTTATTATACCATATTCCATTTTTATTTAAAAAATGGCTTTATAAATAGGCTTGTTTATGTGTTGAACTGTATTACCTTAAAAGATATATTAAAGTCCTAACTGTTGGTATTTCATAGTGTGACCTTAATTAGAAATAGGGTCTTTGCAGATGTGATTATGTCAAATGGGGTCATACTGGAGAAGGGTGGTGTGCGTCCAAGAAGAGAAGAGTTACGGAAACACTCAAGTGTAGAACACCATGTTAATCAGTTGGGAGATATAGCAAGAATCTCAGGAGGCTCGGTGCATAGGAGACAAATGTGTACCTTCAGTCCAAATGATGTTCAACTCCCATGCTAGTATCAGGCATCATCAAAGGCAAAAGTAAACTGTTCTTTTCCTGTTACTTATAAAAGACATCCTGAAACCTTCTGGAACATCCCCAAAACTTCCATGCTTGGAGGACACTTGGGCCTCCCAAGATGGTGAATCAGCTATGGAAAGCTGGGCTGGCATCTTAATCTGTCCTGCAGGTGTATATTAAATCATGAATTGACGTGAGAAATTATAGGATTTAATTAGAAAAATAGATTGCAATCCATTAAATTTTTTTCTACTGAGGTTTTCAATCTAAGTTGTGTACAGGGCAATGAAGTCTTGGATTTGCGAAAGTGATTGAGCATGTACATCAAGTTGGTATTCATGACTTAACTTTATTTAAGGTATATTTATAAGAAAAGAAATATTATTGAGTAAGACTAGCTTCCTTTATTGAACACAAGAGGTAGGGGAAAATAGTATCAATATTTTTAACTGGATTATATTAATTATGGACTATATTAATTATGTAGTAATTTTTAACACATTAGAAAATAGCCATGACCCTTAACATAAATAACACAACTTTAATTCAATGGAAGTACCAACTTCTTTCCTACAGAACTCTGATAATTCAGATAAATATGTGTTAAGTATAGCAGATGTAGTAGGCCTTCTTCTCAACTAACAGTTCTCTTTCCACTGACAATTTTCTAGCTTTAATCTGAAATTAACTGCCTCTTTTTGGAGAGCTAAATTTTTTTTATTTAGTGGAGAAAGTGACTTGTTTTCTACAAAACCCTATCATTCAAAATTTATCACCTCTTCAATAATGATATAAAACCAATATTTTCCTAGTAATTGAAATATTTCTTTTAATAAGAAACTGACTCTTTAAACTCTTCTTTCAAAATTGAGCTGTTAGGAAGCTCTAAAATTGCTCTGTAACAGTACTTATTTTCTGGGGAAAAATCACATTTTCATTGCTGAACTTTATTCAGAATCATCTGGAACAGCTGCAACTTTTTTTTTTTTTTTTTTTTTTTTTGTGATAATGGCCAAAGCTTAGCCCAGATGATTTTATTCAGGTGTTACTGTAATAACTTATTTTCTCTAAACATCCTAAGACATAGAGAGTAACTAGAAGCTAGTTTAATGTCTAAATCCTTATTTTATAAGACTATAACTTGTAGAAAAACTAGATCTCCAAACAGCATCTGTATCTATAATAACTTATACATGCTCACTAGGGAAACACTGATGGAAATTTAACACACTCTATTATGCTGATGTGTTCATATCAACAAAGATAGTCATCAGCATCCAAGACAGGATCTACTTAAAAAGCTAAAAAGGCAATAGGTTAAAACTTCTGTTAGTTTCTACATTCATTATAAATGTACCTTACCTAATGGTCAGTTTCACAGGCTCAGGTGACCCATTGACATTGACCAGGAACTCTTCTTCAAAGTTTCCCAGGATGGTAGAGCTGAAGGAGATCTGGATAGCTTGGACTCCACTTGGTTCAATGATGCCTTCCTTGGGACTGAAAACAAAGCAGGCCCCCAAAGCTGAAGTTGGAGGGGTCATGTTGAAGAGAGCATCGATGCTGCCTTTGTTGTACAGTATCGCCTATATCAATAAAAGGCAAGAATGTGAAGGTCAATGGGCCTCTGACCTATTTTCATATAAGCATATATGGGCAATAACATGCTTCCAGAACACTAGAATATAGGAGTACAACTTTTCTATAGTAAAACAGTTGCTTGCATAAGAATCTCAAAACAATCATCCATCCAGTAGAATCTGAGATGAAAATGTCTCAATAGGATGAAATCTGATAGCACAACAAAGAGAACCCTTGTCATCTGGGATCCACAGTGATGTCTCATTTACATTCTTCAAGCTACATTATAAACATAGGTTTAGGTAATTCTCACTCTGCTATTCTAACTTGCTTTTTATTTTTAAGTATGCTGCTTAACCTCAGCCTTCTCATGCGTATAAGAGAAATACTTACTTTCCCTTGGTTACTTTATAGAGAGTAGCAAAAAAGGGAGTATTTTAAGGCTCTTCATCAGTATATGTGATTATGATCAGTCTTTATAGCACGAGCATAATATATATGACTAATTTCATGTTAAAGAGGAGACTAAAAATGTAAAATTACTTTCTGGCTTGGGAGTTCTATCTTCAAACACTCAAGGCATCAGACTGTTCATTTGTCCCTGAGTGTTCTTCTTTGGTTCTAATTCTGCAACTTTCCCTTTGTTGCTGTTAAACAGTACAGACACATGCTTATATGAAAACAGCTGCAACTTTTGTATGAAACATTTAAATGCATTTTTTCTGGCTTAATGATTAACATATGATTTCTCTTCTCTCTTGAAATTCTTAATTATAAAACTAATAAAGTTACTGTTTAAAATTTTCTGATTATGGTTTCACACTTACCCCTAAAATATAGTTGTCTCTGGTTACCAAATTACAAATATTATTTTTCTGAACAAGTTTAATAACATTTTAATAACATACCCCTCCCTTTGGTGCACTAAATAAACACATATTAATGTACCTTTAATAAAATAATTGCCTTTAGTATTCATCAGCTTCTACGCTTTGTAAATATAGAATAGAAAACAATGTTTTGTAACTACATATATAGATAACCCATTTAAAAGATTAAAATATTTTTTAAAATGTCCCTACAGAAGGCATAAATGTTTACACGATGCATTATTTATTCAAATATGTGTTCAACTATCTCTCATACAATTGCAAAAAATATTTTGCCATTTAAATAATGATCTTTTTTTTCTAACTTACAGAAATATTATTTTTTAAGTCTTTCTGTGTGCCGTGTTATAGGCATGCTTAAATCAATGGGCGAAGTTTTCTTATTCCAAGAATGTAACTTGGTTTTTATCGTATAATGAAAATTTTCCTGTGTTATTGGAGAAATTCAGACGAATGGTGCCCGTGGCTGTAAGTATCTTAAGTATAAAAATATTCCTCAAAACATATTTGTGCCTTTTCATTCATGATATTTGTTATTCTGAAAATTCTGTTTTATTTCTATACAAGTCTAATATTTACTAAATATTAAATTGATATAAACATTTATGTTGCTTGTATAGGAAACTGTGGATCCTCACTATATAATGTAATTTACCTTCAAATAGATATTTTGTATGCAAAGCCATTTATTTAAATTTTAAACTATCTCCTACTCTAGTAAAAACAATTTCTAAGAAATATCTATAAAATATTTAATTTAATAAGTATAAAACAAATATTCATATTTACTTAATAAAGTAAAGAAGAATATCAAGCAAAAAATATTTTTATGAAAAAAGCCCTGCAGAATTTGGAATATTTAGATATGGAAGATATTTCAATATAAACAGTATACAAATAAGGAGTAAGAAGAAGATAAAGGTCTCCAATTATCGTCTGAAAATAAATAGATGGATGTGTCAACTTCAATGATAAATACTGTATTTTCTGACTGTCTAAGAAAAACTAGCTTTGTTTTAGCTCTATGTTCACCTGCCTTATGATTATGTGTATTCACCACTTTTGTAATTTTGCATTCTGACCATATGTAAGTCAGATGTGAGGGAGTAGCAAACCTCACTTCGATCTTTAATTTTTTTTTTGACGTTGTGTTCACAAGATGATTTTTTTAATTCAAGTTATCATCAGATACACTTTAAACATCTTGAATTTACATTTAGATAGCCTGACCAATATTAGGCTTGGTGATTGGCCTTGGAAACACATACTCCCTATAATGTATTGGATATTATGTATAAAGTAAACTATCAGGAGGCAGGGAACATAGGTAATGGCAAGTTGAAACAAATCATTTAGTATGGCGACAGTATTTGTAAAAGCAGCGCCCTGTGTGTGATGCTCTTGTCATGCATATGTCTGATGTGGTTCTGGAGTGCATGATTGGTGAGCTAGCCATGTCCCCTGTGTTTGGAGAGTAGTGAAGCGTGACAGTCCATGTGCTATCTTAGCCTTTTTCTGTTATCCTTGATGACAGCATGATAGCATGTCTGGTTTCAACCATTCCCCTGAAGCAAGGCTAAATGGTTGTGATGTCTTTCCAATTTCCCACGAACCAATTCTTTGGGAACTTTACTTTTATTAACCCCAAAGGTCTCTCCATTTGTTTAGTTCTCCCAAACTGTATCCAACTTTCAGAATTCAGCAAAATTGATGGGGCAGTCTTGTACAATACACTTCTTTGTAAGATTTCCTTAAAAGCTTCAGCACTTAAAGAAAATCAATAGTGCTTGATGTGGTTTTGTGGCTTTCAGTCTCTTAAACACTAAATTCAACTTGATCCATTGCTATCAGTAGTTTAGGGTTATAGTTCAGCCATCTAGAAAGGTTTGAGTTTTGTGGTCCATCATCTGCCATGAATTCACCCAAATTGACAAGGTTAATGAGTTTTAATTAATATATATATATATATATATGTATTTTACAAATAAATAATGAATATCAAAGAAATGCTCTATTATATGTAGCCACAATATGAAATGGACAGCTAGTTTATTTATTAACAAAGCTAGTATTATCAGAGTTTTCCAAAAAAACATAATCAATAGGATATGCATATACATTGATGAAGATTTATTATAAAGAACTGGCTCACACTATTATGGACTCTGGGAAGTCCAAAATCTGCAGGGTGGATCAGCAAACTGGAGACCCAGGAAGAGCTGATGTTCCAGTCCAAAAGGCATTCTGCTGCAGAACCCACAAGAGCCAATGCTACAGATGAAATCCGAAGGCAATCTGCTGGAGAATTCTCCCTCGCTCCTGGGTGGGCAGTGTTTTTTTTCTGTTGAGACTTTCAGCTGACCTGAAGCCCACTCACATTATGGAGGGCAATCTTCTTTACGCAAAGTCCACTAATTTAGATGTTAATCCTATCCAAAAAACACCCTCACAGAAACACCCAGAATAAAGTTTGAACAAACATCTGAGCACCCTGTGTCCTAGCCAAGTTAACACATAAAATGAACCATTACCAAGCTCATTTTGATGTTGGTGGAATTTAAACAAACCTGGACATACTTAGTAAATCTGTGTCATGAACACACCATTAGTATAACTGTATGGAAACTGGGGACTCTCAACAAAGGGAAACCACATTGTATCTCTGAGGCTTCAGACATTGCTATGCCTACCCTTTGGAAATGAGGCTAAAGAAGTCAATTGGCATGGGAATAAGCGGTTGTCCTATTATTTAAAAGCAAATAAATAAATAAATAAATAAATAAATTACTACCATGGTTCACAGATAAGGCCATAGTATTTATGTATGGGGTGGGCCAAACTTTCTGAGTGTAATATGATGGACACACGCCTAGATTGCAGTAAGAGAAAGGTTCATTGTCAGGAAACTACAGCACAAGATGATATTTATATGAAGGGAAGGGCAACATTCTCTCCAAGTTTATCACTTAATATCTGTCTCCCTGACAGTCCAGTTTGCATGTCACAGTGCTCAGCAAAATAGATAGAGGATTGCCAGGCAGAATACAAGTGGGACCGGGCAGGTTACTCAAACCCAGGTTGTAGCAAGAATAAGGTAATTAATGGTCATGTCTTATAACTGGGTACATCACACAAACACTGTAAAATCGAATTGGTGTGTATGTGTAAGAAAGTACTAAAAATTCAATAATGTCTTTATATAATGGAATACCATCACTAACATGCAGTGAGGTACATCTACGCATATGGGCATGGAACCATCTCTGCCTTATGTTTGGAGCTTTGAAAGAAAATTAGTGTCATATTTGGTAAAAGGTAAAAGTAAAAAAATCATACATACCCCAAAATAATAATAATTTAAATTGTATGCTTTGTCTTCAGAAATCATACAGATAAATTTATTATATACTATTCCCATAAATGTTAAAATTATAAATTCATTGAAAAGACATCAGTCAGTATCATTTTGATATTGACACAATTTTTATGATATGCAATTTTGAAGTGACAACTACAGAAACAATGTTACATAATTTAGGTTTATTGTTGTTGTTATTGGTATATTTTGAGATGGAGTCTCATTCTGTCATCCAGGCTGGAGTGCAGTAGCCTAATCTTGGCTCACAGAAACCTGCATATCCTGGCTTCCAGTGATTCTCATACCTCAGCCTCCCCAGTAGCCAGGACTACAGGCATGCACCACCACACCCAGCTAATTTTTTGTATTTTTAGTAGAGATGGGATTTCACCATGGTGGCCAGCCTTGTCTCAAACTCCTGGCCTCAAGTGTTCCACCTGTCTTGGCCTCCCAAAGTGCTGGGATTACAGGTGTGAGCCCCCATACCTGGCCCATAATTTAGGTTTTGAAAGCCAGATTTCAAAATGTTTGACAAGTGAAGGAACTATTAATTAATTCATTTGGTAGACAATGTTTTAACAAAATAAGAAGTATGATTTTCTTGAATAGTTTTAGAACTTTGATAAATTTATGGTGAAATGGATGTAGAAGATTAGTTTAAAAGAACATATATATATATATAAAATCTACTTTCAGTAGGTTAGAGCTTTTATTATTGAACAAAATTTTTAATATAAATTATGTTATAATTTTCAGACAAAGAGAACATTAAATAGCACCTATTATACCCCAGGTTTTATGTGACAATTTGTATTGATTGCCAGATATGCACAATCTGTTATTAATATTCACCATTGCAATCATGGAATAAAAAACAATAGAACTTAGAAATCTAGATTTTTCAAACTTTATTATTTCTTAGGATGTGTATAGTTGGTTATTTTGCTTAACTACTTTAACTATTGATAAATTAATCTGTAAAAAAAGAAAGATTTTATCGTTCATGTTTATCTCTGGATTTTTGTGAGCAACTTAAAAGATGAAAGGTGAAAGGTAAAAGGTTTTGAAATATTGTGATGAATTATCATAATTAAAGTTTATATCGTTAGTAAGAACTAAAAGTATATGTCTATGCACCCTAACTCATAATATGTACTATTCACAGTCTATATATACACAAAGAAAAACAAACAATTACTAAATGCCAATTACATGCCAACCTTACTGGAAGCTCTTAGCACCCATTAACTCATTTAATCCTAAGAACAATCCATTGTTTTAAGTATGATTTATTTCTTCAAATTATAGATGGTAAAACTAACCCTAAACATGTTGCAGCATAAACAGTTGCCTAATTTATTACTTTTAGAAAACCATGACACCAAGATTTAATCCCACTTATTTTATGAAAGTCATTGAAACAGAAACCAATTTCTCAATAATACCCTCATAAACATATGACTTTGAAATACTCTAAAAATATTCTAGTTTTTTTAACAACCTCTAAATTACTGCTTTTAATACTGTTGTTTAAGAAGCTGTAATTAAAAAAAAATTTACTGAAAACTTACTAGGAAGGAACATTGGAGGATAAAATATGAGTAATAGTCTCTATTCTGAAAAAGTTTACAATCTTGTGACCATTATTACTTTTATTCAGGATAATTATTTCTCAAAAGCTTTAGATGAGTAATGCATAATGTCTTATATTACTTTTTTGTTGTTTTGATGTTTAATTAGGGAAACACTTGTCTAATCTTTTCATCAATGTTCTTAATTTACCTTTTCTACTTATTTGTGATATAGCTTCAAAAAATTAATAGAAGAATTTTACAGATCAGAAAGTCTAATGCAAAATAATTAAGTTTATTTTTAATCAATTATTTAAAATAATATCTCTAAAAGGTAATACATGCCAGCATTAATAAATACGTTATTTTTGAAAAACTAAACCTGATTTATTAAACATAAAAAAGTAAAAAATTAGCAAAACAATGGAGATCATATTATTTTTGCTTTTTAAAAAATTTACAACATAAATAAACGTCAGATTGCATTTTTTCACATACAACAGTTCTGGTCTATTTTAAAGAAACTGAAACAAGAAAAAATGCAAGGGACTTTACTAAGCAATGATTGCTCTATTTATAAGGTTGATTCAGATCCCACAGGAAATTGATCAATATCAGTCAATCTATGTTTTAATCCAGGACTACAAAGTATCACAAAATCATAAACATTTGTACACCTATGTATAATTGTTTTCTTTGTACAAATATTGTCTTCTGTTTAATAAACTATTTTCAAATTTATCTATTATCTTAGTCTGATAAACTTACATACCTTTTGTATAAATTTCAAAATATTACTTTGCTTATTATCAAGAAATTGCATGGAAGTGCTACTTGCCTGGGAAAGGGGGAAACAACACTTAAAAGTGTGTTCCAGTGAACTGCCTTACTGTGTTCTAAGTTGGTTTTACTATATTACGGCATGTTTCACTCTGACATTTTTCTTTACTTGCTGTTTTGTTACATTCCTTTTTTAAACACATGTCTCTTTTTATCCACATATTCAAATGTATGCTATGGGTCTATTTGATTTGAACATCTGCTTCACATATTTCATATAAGAATCCTACAAGTGCAAATTTAAAGAGTCTAACACTTATTTTGTTACTGAAATATAAATCTAAACTATCTTCTCTTTATAAATATACTGTTTTAAAACTTAACATTTGTTCATAAATCCCATTGTTTGGTTTATGATAACCTGAGAAAGAACAAGATCAATAAATCTTAGGAAATAGTCACATACTTTGTGAAATGCTCTCCTTTCACAAGACCACAAGCAATTAAAGACTGTGTTTTCAACTTATATATTTAATATTTCTATGTTGGGGAAATTTGATTTAATTTATCATTGATCTTCACACAGTAGTAGAAAATGACATTAAAATAGTAGCATTTTATGGACCATACATACTGTTATGTATCTATAAAAATAAAAACAAAAGCAAAAACAAAAAAATAGAGATTGAAAATAACTATGCGCCATTAGGAAAATATTTTTGGGAATTAGCTCACTCATCCCCTAAATGAATGTCTATAACTACTGTGATGGCAATCATTTATTGGACTTTTCAAGAATGGCTTGTCTGTGGAAGAATGATAATGTTTTTCATCCAGTCCCTAAACTTGGAAAGAAAATTAAGTCAAATATTCACAAGTGCCAACTTCAAAGCAAGTTTTCCATGGTAACCGTACCTCAAAAGCTGGTGGTTGAAGATTTTTGCCAATTAGCAACTCCAAAGGGTGCTATTAGTTCCTTCAGAAACATAAGGGACATGGTTTTCATCTGCGACTGCCATTCTTCTTTTAGAGCTTCTCATGGTAAAAGATGGAATACACAACAGCATACTATTTAGTTCTTAATTATAATCATGTAACTGGTTCTAACGAGAACAGTACATATTATGATGTAGTACTTTTCAATAAAGAATAATTGCCCCTGTTAAATCATCAGCATTAGCCCAGCAGACTGTGTTATACCAAATGCAAAAATCTAATCCACATTTAACATCTAGATTATGCACTTTTCTTAAATGTCTATCATCTAGGCTGTGAGCTAAGAATAAATGACACATATATAATAAAAAGCTTTACTACGATGAACATGGCAACCTGGGATCTTCTAAGAATTATTCTTCATAACTAAACATTGACTACATATTTGAATTGCAATTACATGAATATTCAACTTCCAATTTTTTTCATTTCTATTAATTTTCCTGAAATCTTATGAGATATTATCTTCTACAAATGATGCTCTGTGTTATTGAGTCAACCATAATTATAAAATTATTATTATTCTAATGTGTTAGTAGATATGATTTTACACAGCTGCAAGCAAACATAAAAATTTTTTAACTTAAAAGCATTTTGTCTCTTTATTATTAGCAAAGTTTAAAAGCAGTTTGCTTCTTTAGTATCAGCAAAACTTCCCATTCAGTCAAATGAAAAAAATAATCCCACTGTTATAGGAATAGCACTGGGGTATATTTAATGGTTTGGGCAACTCTGCAATAATAAAAACTTAGTCTTGTGAATATTAATGTTTTTACAATGACATATTATTATGGCATAGTTCTAAAATTAAGAAATTAAATAATTCTTATGCTAATAAGAATTAATTGTAGATATTCAAAATTAAGGAGAAAAAAATCTCAAAATATTTTTTAAATCTCCATCGAAAATTAGACCTCTATTTCTTTACCAAATATAGTTTCTACTAAACTGCTCCATAAAATAACATAAATAACCTAGATTGAACACCAGTTTTGAAGAAGCTCTTTTAATGTGAGTTCTCAACCCAACAAATTGTTACAAATGAAATATGTGGAAAAGTCCTGTTAGTTTTCAAGTTCTTCTTTAATTAAGGCAAAAACAGCATTTTAATCACATCCAAGATAAGCAAAATTGGAGAGTGGCAATTTTTACTGCACACTTTTATCTTAGCATTTTTATACTACGATGTATATGTGCAAATATGAAGTATGTATAAATTCCATTTTCTCAGAAGGTTGTAACTATAAATTGTCTTTAAAATTATTTCTTAGGTTAGTGCTCATATAAATATGTTACAGAGAGCACATAAATACCTGAGAGAAAAAATGAAAGAAAAGATGTGAATAATAGGAGAAAAAAAATGAAAAAAAAATTTCAAGAACCATCATGTGTCAAAAGGAAAGGTGCTGATGATCCTAGGAAATCTTGTTTTTCTGGAAAATCTATTGTGGAGGATATAAAATATCAAATACACTATTACATGTTTTAAACAAATCGAAATTTACTATTTAGAGAATTTTGATCTTTTTATAGTTTTATATGCTCTGCCTGTCACCTTTTCCTCAAAGAGAAAAGAACGTAGTAGTTTTTTTTAACTGACAAGTAAAAATTGTATATTTTTATGGTGTACGAAGTGACGTTTTGATATACATATGTATTACAGAATGGCTAAATCAAGATATTTCACAAATGTATTACTTCACATATTTACTTTTTGTTATGATAACACTTCACAGCTACACTTTTAGCAATTTTAAAATATCTAATATGTTGCCAATACCTGTGGTTACTTTGACAAACAACAAATTTATTGAACTTATTTCTTCTGTCTAACTGAATTTTTTTGTCCTTTAACCAACATCTCCACAATCCCAAAAGAGTATAGTCTTAAGAGCGTACCCCTATCTGAAGTAGACACAATATTTTATGGATTAAAACATACATACATGTTCCTATGCCCAGAATGTTGCCTAGGTTGTCATCCAGGGTTTTATGGTTTTAGGTTTTACATTTAAATCTTTAATACATCTTGAGTTGATTTTTGTGTATTGTATAAGGAAGGGGTCCAGGTTCAATCTTCTGCATATGACTAAGGAGTCATCCTAGCACCGTTTATTGAATATAGAGAGCTTTCCTCATTGCTTGTTTTTGTCAGTTTTTTCAAAGATCAGATGGTTGTAGGTGTGTGGCCTTATTTCTGTGTTCTCTGTTCTGTTCCATTGGTCTATGTGTCTGTTTTTGTACCAGTACTATGCTGTTTTGGTTACTGCAGCCCTGTAGTATAGTTTGAAGTCAGGTAACATAATGCCTTTAGCTTTATTATTTTTGCTTAAGATTGCCTTGGCTATTTGGGCTCTTTTTGGTTCCAGATGAAACTTTAGATAGCTTTTTCTAGTTCTGTAAGGAATGTCGTTCATAGTTTGATAGGTATAGCATTGAATCTATAAATCGCTTTGGGCAGTATGGCCATTTTAATGACATTGTTTCTTCCAATACAAAAACGTAAAATGCTATTCTATTTATGTCATCTTTGATTTATTTGAGCAGTATTTTATAGTTCTCATTGTAGAGATCTTAAACCTCCCTGGTTAGCTGTATTCCTAGGTATTTTCTTTTTGTGGCAGTTGTGAATGAGATTGCCTTCTTGATTTGGCTCTCAGCTTGGCTGTTTTTGGTGTACAGGAATGCTCATGATTTTTGCATGTTGATTTTGTATGCTGAAACTTTGCTGAAGTTGTTAGCTGAAGGAGCTTTTAGGTCAAGACTACGGGGTTTTCTAAATACAGAAACATGCCATTTGCAAACAGAAGTAGTCTGATTTTCTCTCTCCTTTTTGGATGCCCTTTCTTTCTTTCTCTTGCTTGATTGACCTGACCATGGTATCCAATACCATACTGAATAGGAGTGGTGAGAGAGGGCATCCTTGCTTTGTGCCAGTTTTCAAGGGGAATGCTTCCAGCTTTTGCTCACTCAATCTAATGTTGGCTGTGGGTTTGTCATAGAAGGCTCTTATTATTTTAAGGTATATTCCTTCAATACATAGTATTTGGATAGTTTTTAACAGGAAGGTATTTTGGATTTTATCAAAAGCCTTTTCTGACTCTATCTGAGATGAATACATGGCTTTTATTTTTAGTTCTGTTTAGTGACGAATCACATTTATTGATTTGCATATGTTGAATCAACCTTGCATCCCAGGCATAAAACCTACGTGGTTGTGGTGTATTAGTTTCTCGATATGCTGCTGGATTTGGTTTACAAGTATTTTGTTGAGGATTTCTGCATCAATGTTCATCAAGGATATCGACCTGAAGTTTTCTTTTTCTGTTGTGTCTCTTCCAGGTTTTGGTATGAGGATAATATTCGCCTCACAGAATGAGTCGGGGAGGATTTCTTAGTTCTCAATTTTTTTTGCTGTAGTTTCAGTAGGAATGGTACCAGCTCTTCTTTGTACATCTGATAAAATTTGGCTGTGAATCCGTCTGATCCTGCGCTTTTTTTAGATTGTCAGGCTATTTATTACTAACTCAGTTTTGGCGCTCATTATTGGTCTGTTTAGGGAATCAATTTCTTCCTGACTTACTCTTGGGAGACTGTATGTGTCCAGGAATTTATTTATCTCCTCCAAATTTTCTAGTTTGTGTGCATAGAGGTGTTCATCATAGTCTCGGATGGCTATTTTTATTTCTGTGGGGTCAGTGGCAACATCACTTTTGTCATTTCTGATTGTGTTGATTTGGATCTTCTGTCTTTTCTTCTTTATTAGTCTGCTAGTGGTCTATCTATCTTATTAATTTTTTTCAAAAAAAAAACCTTCTGAATTTGTTGATCCAGGCAATACTGTTAATCTAGGCAAGACCATTCTGGACAAAGGAACTGGCACAGATTTCATGATGAAGAATCCAAAAGCAGTCACATCAAAAGCAAAACTTGACAAATGTAATCTAATTAAAGTTAAGAGGTTCTGCCGGGTGCGGTGGCTCACGTCTGTAATCCCAGTAATTTGGGAAGCCGAGGCGGGCGGATCACCTGAGGCCGGAAGTTTGAGTTCAGCCTACGAACATGGAGAAACCCCCTCTCTACTAAAAATACAAAATTAGCAGGGTGTGGTGCTGCATGCCTGTAATCTCAGCTACTTGGGAGGCTGAGGCAGAAGAATTGCTTGAACCTGGGAGGTGGAGGTTGCCGTGAGCCGGGATCGCGACATTACACTCCAGCATGGGCAACAAGAGCGAAACACTGTCTCAAAAATAAATAAATAAATAAATAAATAAATACACAAAATTAAGAGCTTCTGCACAGCCAAGAAACTATCAACAGAGTAAATAAGCCACCAACAGAATGGGAGAAAATATTTGCAAATTCTGCATCTGACAAAGGTCTAATATCAAGGATTTATAAGGGGAAATTTACAAGAAGAAACAAATATATAAGAATAAAACAAATAACCCCATAAAAAAGTGGGCAAAAAACATGAACAGACATGTTTCAAAAGAAGACATACATGTGGCCAACAATCATGAAAAAAAGTTCAAAATCACTGATCATTAGAAAAATGCAAATCATAACCACAATGAGATATCATCTCACACCACTCAAAATGGCTACTATTAAAAAGTAAATAACATGCTGATGAGGTTGTGGTGAAAAGGGAAGACTCATGCTGTTGGTGGGAGTATAAATTAGTTTAACCATTGTTAAATGCAGTGTGACAATTCCTCAAAGAGCTAAAAACAGAACTACCATTTGATCCAGTAATCCCATTACTGGGTATATGCCCAAAGGGGTATAAATCTTTTTACCTTTTTACCTTTATGGGTAAAATGCACATGTATGCTCATCTACAAAGATGTAGAATCATCCTAAATGCCCATCAATGGAGACTAAATAAAGAAAATGTGATACATAAACAAGATGGAATACTATGCAACCATAAAAAATAATGAGATCGTGTCCTTTGCAGAGACATATATGGAGCCAGACACCATCATCCTTAGCAAACTAACACAGGAACAGAAAACTAACTACCGCATGTTCGTACTTATAAGTGGAAGCTAAATAATGAGATCACAGAGACACTAAGGGGAACAAAAGACACTGGAGTGTGCTTGAGGGTGGAGGGTGGCAGCAGGGAGAGGAACAGGAAAAATAACTATGAGGTACTAGGCTTAGTAACTGGGTGACAAAATAATCTGTATGACAAACTCCTGTGACACAAGTTTACCTATATAACAAACCTGTGAACCCTTGAACCTAAAATAAAAGTTTAAAAAATAAGATGAAAATAAGCTCAATTTAAAAATATACAAGAATCTGCCATTATAGATTCACATTTCTTTAGCTTTATTTGGCTTCAATAAGAAAAATAAAAATATTTCTTGCTCTTATAGCATAATAATCAGAATAGAGTTTTCAATGGTGACCCTCTTTCTACCTTAAGCATGATGGATGTTTAATTGTATAAAAGGTATTAAAGGATTTATCCTTAGGGTAAAGCAGGAGAAATGACACAAAGAATAATTCTTTAAAAGTTCATTTTTATTTATAAGTGGGAGATGAACAATGAAAACACACGGACACAGGGAGGGGAACAATACACACTGGGGCCCATCAGAAGAGGGAGGGTATAGGGAGAGCATTAAGGAAAGAGCTAATGCATGCTGGACTTATTACCTAGGTGATGGGTTGATAGGTGCAGCAAATCACCATGGCACATGGTTACCTATGTAACAAACCCCAGAACAGTAAACAAATTAATAAAAATAAAATTTAAAGAAAAAGTTCATTTTTAATAAAGTGTTCAGAATGGACTGAGCAGGTATGGGTGTAGGACAACAATTTAAACAGAAAATCCATTTAGGTGACAATTAGTATGTTAGATGGCTTTGTATTTTTCTAAGTAAGGAATCATCGTGACTTTAACTAAGTAGGTGCCATTATGAAAGGAGATGAAGTGATAAATGTGATTGATATGTATGTGATGGTTAATTATATGTATCAAGTTGACTGGACTAAGAAATGCCCAGATGGCTGTTAATACATTACCTATAGGTGTGTTTATGAGGATATTTTCAGAAGAGACTAGCATTTGAATCAGTGGACTAAGTAAAGAAGATCCCTCCTCACCAATGGGGGTAGATATCATCCAATCCATTAAGAGCTGAAATAGAGCAAAAAAGCAGAAGATCAAATTTGCTGTCTCTCTTCTGGAGATGAGACATCCATCTTCACATGCCCTTGGACATTGGACTCCTGGTTCTCAGACCTCCAAATTCTGGGATTTACACCAGAGGACTCCCCCTATTGATTCCCAGCCCTTCAGACTGAGACGGAATAACTCAACCAAACTTCCTGATTCTCCAGCTTGCAGACAGCAGATAGTGAGATTTCTCAGCCTTGATAATCTTGTCAGAAAAATTCCTGTAATAAGTATGAATAATAAATATACATTGGTTCTGTTTCTCTGGTAAACCCTAATACAATTTATGAACTACATAGAATAGAATTGAGTATTAATTGAATGGGGTGCAGAAAAAGAGATTAGAAAGAGTTAGATATATGCTCCTAATTTTCCACAATTAAAAATAGGTGGTCCCTGTATTTTGATAGGAATTGCACAGAATCTATAAATTGCTTTGGGTGTATGGTCATTTTAACAATATTAACCTTCCAATCCATGAACATAAAATATATTTCCACTTTTTGTGTCCCCTTCTATTTATTTCATGAGAATTTTATCATTTTCCTTTATAGATTTTTTTTAGTTAGATTGATCCTAGGCATTTTATATTTTTTGTAGCTATTATAAAGGGGATTACTTTCTTAATTCTTTTATATTGTTTCCTGTTGGCATATATAAATGCTGCTGATTTTTGTATGTTGACTTTGTATGCTACAACTTTACTGAATTTGTTTATCAGTTCTAAGAGTTTTTGGTGGTTTTTAGGTATTTTTAGTTATAAGATTATGACATCTGCGAAGAAGGCTAATTTGACTTCTTTGTTTCCAATTTGGATGGCCTTTATTTATTTAATTGCCGAATTGATCTGGCCAGTACTTCCAGTATTATATTGAATAACAGCAATGAAAGTGAACATCCTTGACATTCTTCATAGAAGTAGAAAAAATCCAAAATTTTTATCAAAATTTATATCAAATCACCAAAAATCCTGAACAGCTAAAGCCATCTTGAGCAAAAAGAACAAAGCTGAAGCATCATACAACCTCACATCAAACTTTATTACAAAGTTGTAGTGACCAAAACAGCATTGTACTTGCATAAAAACAGACACAAAGACCAATGGAACAAAATAGAGAACCCACATATAAATCCATGCATTTACAACCAACTGCTCTTCAACAAAGGTGCCAAGAACTTACAATGGGGTGTACTACTCTGTTCTCATGTTGCTAATAAGGAGATAACAGAGACTGAGTAATTTATAAAGGAAAGATGTTTAATTGACTCACAGTTCCACGTGGCTGGGAAGGCCTCACAATCATGGTGGAAGGTGAATGAGGAGCAAAGTCACATCTTACATGGAGGTGAGCAAGAGAGCTTGTGCAGAACTCCCATTTATGAAACCATCAGATTTCATGAGACTTATTCACTGTCATGAGAACAGTATAGGAGAAACCACCCCCATGATTCAGTTATCTCCACTTGTCCCTGCCCTTGACATATAAAGATTGTTACAATTTAAGGTGAGATTTTGGTGGGGACACAGAGCCAAACCATATCATGGGAAAAAAATAAATGGTACTGGGAAAACAGGATAACTGTATGCAGAAGAATAAAACTAGACCCCTCTTTCCCAACATACACAAAAAAAAACAAGTCAAAATAGGCTAAAGACTTGAATTTAAGACCTTAAACTATGAAACTACCAGAAAAAAAAAAGACTGAAGAAATGCCTCAGGAGATTGGTCTGGCCAAGAACTTTTTGTAGAAGACCTCAAAATCACAGGCAATCAGAGCAAAAATAGACAACTGAGATTACATCAAGCTAACAAGCTTCTGCATTGCAAGGGAGTAATAGATAAAGTGAAGAGACAACCTACAGAATGAGAGAAATTCTTGCAACCTGTTTGTCTGATAAAACATCAATAACCAAAATATATAAGAAACTGAACAATTAAATAGCAAAAAATAATAATAATAATATAATTTAAAAATAGGCAAAATATCTGAACAGATATCTCTGAAAAAACACACAAATAGCCAACAAGTATATGAAAAAAATGCTCAATATCACTAATCATCAGAAAAATGAAAATCAAAACTACAATGAGATATTGTCTCTCCTCATTTAAGATGTCTTGTATCAAAATAACAGATTCTGGTTGAGAATGTCTAGAAAGAAGAACTCTTACACACTGCTGGTGGGAATGTAAATAAGTATAGCCACTATGGAGAACAGTACAGAGGTTCATCAAAAATTAAAAATAGAACTTCTATGTGACCCAGCAATTCCACTACTGAGTATATATAAAATGGAAAGAAAATCAATATATCAAAGATTTATCTTCACTCCCATGTTCATTGCAGTATTAGTAATATTCATAATAGCCAAGATATAAAATCACCCTAAGTGGCCATCAACAGATGAATGGATAAGGAAAAAGGGGCGTACATACACAATGGAATATTTTTCAGCCATAAAAATGAATAAAAATCTTTCATTTGCAGCAACATGGATGGAACTGGAGGCTGTTATGTTAAGTGAAATAAGCCAAGCACAGAAAGACAGATATTGCATTTCCTCATTTGTATGTGGCAGCTAAAAAAGTGGATCTCATGAAGGTAGAGAAGATTGTTGCCTACCAGAGCCCAGGAATAGGAGAGGAGAGGAGAGGAGAGGAGAGGAGGGATGAAAGAAAAAGAAAGAATAGAAATTGATTTATGACCACCAAACTGTACATTTAAAATGGCAAAGATGATAAATTATATATAAATATTATACCTCAATTAAAAAATTAAAAAATATATGCTCCTGCAATTTTTTTCATGTAATCATTTGTAGAGATAAGGGCCATCAAAAGTAACCCAAAAGAGTTTTTTAAGTTTGCACAAATTGAATTTAAGTTTATTATGGGTCATGACATGTAAATATTAATCTCATCAATGAAAATGTAAACCTGAAGTTTGTGACTGAATTAACTAAAAGTCAATTTTGCTAAGAACAGCTGAAAGGAGAGATTATTTCGCTAAGAAAGTCTCTGTGGATAATGTAGAATCATGTTAATAAGCCAAAACAATGTTTTTAGTGAAACTAGTCTCTCTAATTAAGTAGCAGAGAGTACATTACAAATCATTTCTCAGTCATGGAAGCAAAGGTCAGAACAAAATATGTTGAGCAATGAATAGCAATAATGGAATGAAGACATTGCCAATAACAACAAAGGAACATGAAGTCCGTATATATTTTGTCTTTTCTTTTGTTGGTGACACTTTTTTAGATCAGGTTCACACTGCTTTAATATGTAGGAAACTTGTAATTACTTAAATGAGGAAGAGTTGATAGAGAATTGAAGTTGAGAATTCTAAAGAAGGGACTGCCCAAAGCACCACTGTACTTGAGAAAGTAACAAAATTAAAAGCATGAGCAGGTGCAAGACAGATTTTTGTTTGAGTAACAGATGCTAAAATGTTTTTATTAAATGTCTTCATTTTGTTCTCAGAAGTTGAAGACAAAGTCATCTTTAAGAGGAAGAAGATATGCAAGAAGTTTTGAGAAGAATGGAGATTACTTATTATAGCCACTCTGAAGATTCATTTATATATATGAAAAGGAATAAAATATTATAATTGCAATGTTATATTTAGGACCCAGGGAGGAGTCTGGATCATTACTTTATATTGCTATAAATCTTCCTAGATCTGCAGTTTTCTTAAGCTGTGTTTGAGAATAAAATGGATACCACACTCCTCAGTGCCAACTTGTAGAACTATTCCTGCCCCCAGCTCTTATGCACTGGGGCAGAATTTTTGCCCAGAATAGGCGTAGCAGAAAGCTCCACAGTTATGCCCTAGAAGACTGTCTTTATTTGGAAAAGAACATGCAGAAATGTGTGCTGTAGAGTATTGTCAAAATAACTCCATGATATTCGTAGAAATAAGCAAAAGTAATAGAGCAGTCAGAAATGTAACAGAAAGAACCAGGGAAAGAAATAGATAAGAAAAGCCTTCCTGGAGCCCTCCTAAATGCCCTAACCCAATCCTGGAAGTTAGGGACGTTTTTCATGCACAAGACTATATTCCTTCAGAAGCGATCAGAGCAGGACAGACTTAATATATTCCTCGTGTTACAAATAGAGACATCAACAGGAGGCAGGATGCTCAATGGCAAGAAGAGCATAAGAATATATACACGATTAAACAGTGGCTGAACAATAAGCTACTCTGACCCAAAGGTAACATCTAGGAATCCAAGGTTAAACATAAAATTGCATTTCCTTTTAAAAGTCTAGAAAACTGTGTGCATGCTTAAGTCTGTGCCCTATCAGGAGTGATGAAGGAGGAAAAATCTAACTTATTGTGAAGCAAAAACATAAATTCCTTGAACTATGACAGCAAATTTCAAGTGATACAAAATTAAATAGCAAAGAGTAAATTTACGTGAGCAAAGAATCTTAAGCCCAGCCACTGTTGTAATCCAAATGTTTGCATTCTCCCAAAATTCATGTTAAAATCTTAATCTTCAAGGTGTTGGTGCTAGGGGTGAGGCCTTTTGGGAGTTGATTATGTCCTGAGGGAAGAACTCTCATGAATGAGATTAGTGCTCTTATAAAACAAGCTGAAGGGAGCTTGTTCACCCCTTTCACCATGTATGGACACAGTGAGAAGATGCTGCTCTATGAATTAAGAACTGGGATTTTACTGGACACTGCATCTGATAGCACCTTGTTCTTCAACTTTCCAGCCTTTAGAGCTGTGAAAATAAATTTATGCTTTTATAAGCCACACCGTTTATGGTATTTTGTAATAGCATCCCAAACACACTAAGACAACCTTTTACCAGTAAGTGGCTTATGTTAACCCAGGTAAGAAACCTAGGTAGCCAGAGAAAAAGTTGAAAACAAAACAAAACAAATCTTAGTAGCAACATCAGAGGCTGCACAGTGCAAAAAGAATAAACCTCACACAATTAGTTCAGGTAAGTCACTAAAAAAATAAATAATGAAGATAACAACCACCAGCCATGGTGGTAGTGGTGATGGTTAGCGTGTAACTATTCAGAGTTGCTACAATATATTATTTTAAATAATATAGTCCCGTTTTCTGCAAAAACCTTAGGAGACATGGAAGGAAATGGAAATATGACCACATATACTAGACGGGGCAGAGAAGATCAGTCAATAGGAACTGGCTTTCAAGGAGTTGAGATGTTGAATATAGAAAAAAAAAAAAAAAAGGAAAAGAGGCCTTATCTAAAAAATAGAGATATGATGGCAATGTCTCATCAAATACACAATATCAATGCATATAAAAAAACTATAAAAATAAACCAAATGGAAGTCTGAAATAGAAATGTACAATAACCAAAATGAAAATTCACCAGAGATTCAACAGTAGATTCAAGCTCTAGGAAAAAAATAGTGAACTTGTGAATAGATAAGTACATATTTTACAATCTAAAGAAAAGAAAGGAGCCTGGTGGGGTGACTCATGCATGTAATCCCAGCACTTTGGGAGGCTTAGATGGGCAGATCACTTGAGGCCAGGAGTTCGAGACTACCATGGCCAACAAAGTGAAACCCTGTCTCTACAAAACATACAAAAATTACCTGGGCATGGTGGTGCACACCTGTAGTCCCAGCTACTCGGGAGGCTGAGTTATGAGAATTGCTTTAACCCAGGAGGCAGAGGAGGTTGCAGTGAGCCAAGGTCATGGCACTACACTCCAGCCTGGGCAACAGAGCAAGATTCTGTCTCAAATAATAATAATAATAACATAATAAACATAAAGTAAAGAAAAGAGAGAAAATGGAATGAAAATACACAAACCGAGGCTAGGAAAAATGTGAGGTTACATTAAATGTAGCAACATACATGTAATGAGATTTCCAGAGAAGAATATAGAAATAGAGAAACAGGAAGTTTATGCAGAGAACTAAAAGCTGAAAACTTTACAAATTTTATGAAAAAGTGTATTGCTGGCATTTAACAAGTTCAATCAGCTCCTGTTAGGCTAAACATAAAGTGACCCACAAAAAACACACATAACAATCGAAAATATAAAAGCCAAAGGTAAAATCATGAAAACAGCAAGAGAAAATGATGCATTATGAATAAAGAAACTCCAACAGGATTAATAGCTATCCCGTCATCTGAAACTACACAGGACAAATGAAGCTGGTGTGATCTATTTAAATTGCCAACAATAACAACAACAACAACAACAAAAACCCTAACCCAACACTGTCAGACAAGAATCATATAGCCAGGAAGACAGTATTTCAAAAATGAAGCAGTAATCAAGACATTCCAAGATAAACAAAAGCCAAAAGAAATTGTAACTAGCAAATCTACTTTAAAGAAATACTAAAGGATGTTGCTAAGGATTGGATTGTGTTTCCAAAATATTTACATGCCTCTCTCCTAACCCTTAACGTTACTATATGTGAAGAAAGGACCTTTAGGACGTGATGAAAATTAAATGAGATCATAAAGGTGAGACCTTGATCAGATAAAACTGGTTGTCTTATAAAAAGAGGAGGGGTGAGGGATTTATCTCCCCATGCAGCCGTCTTCAAGCCAGGAAAAGAGCCCTTTCCTAAAACCAAAACCTGCTGCAACCTTGATTTTGGACTTTTCATCCTCCAAAACTTTGAGATGAGAAAATAAATTTCTGATGGCTAAGCCATGTAGTCCGTGGCATTTTGTTATGGCAGGCCAAGAAGACCAAAAAAAATTGGCACTGAAGAAGTGGGATGCCGCTATTAAAAATACATTAACAATGTGGAAGTGACGTTGTAACTAGGAGATGACCGAGGCTGAAAGTGTTTTGAGGTCCATGCTAGAACACAAGCTTAGATTTCCAGAAGTACTTTTTGGTATAAATATGCACATTAAAAGGTGATTCAAGCGAGGGCTCAAGAAGAAAAGAGGAAAGCTATAGAAAAGGCCTTTATCATTTTAGAGAATACATATATTTTCATGAACAGACTATTTATAGAAATATGAATGTTAAAGACAGTTCTGTTAAAATTTCAGACAAAAATGAGAAACATGTTACTGGAAACTGAAGGAAAGGTGATCTTTGTCATAAAGTTGCAAAGAACATGGCTGAAATGTGTTCTATCTGTTCATGTAAGGTAGAAATTGTGAGAGAAGAAACTGGATATTTAGTTAAAGATATTTTGAAGCAAGGTGTTGAGGGAATGACGTGCTTTTTCCTGACTATCAACAGCAACAAAAAATCAATTCTATCCAAGGATTAACTCTCAGGCCTAATTTCCTCCTGTGCATAATAGGAATGATTACCTGCCTAATTGAACTGTTGTCAGATTAATTAAGTAACTAAGTTCAACTTCAAATTCATTTTGAACAAGGCAAAAGATGAGTCCAGTACCACCCCCAACATGGTATCTAGAAATGACACTCATATTTATTGAAAGTTTAATAGGTGGAGGTGTCTGTGCTAAATACTTCCCAAGAGATTATCACCCAGCTTTACAGGCAGAATGTCATTAGTCACTACAAAAGCTGCATGCTTCTAGGGAAAGCAAAGAATAAATAAACATCAAACACACACACACACGCACACACACACACAACTTTTACAAGTCACACGAATATTTACATTCTGGGCAGGACGTGAGGAATCAAAACAGAGGAAAACATTCCCCTTTACCCTACAAAGATTTTTTTTTTTTTTTTTGATGTAATATCCAAAAAATCATTGCCAAAGCCAATGTCAAGGAGCTTTTCTCCTATGTTTATTTATTTATTTAATTATTTTTATTTTATTATACTTTAAGTTTTAGGGTACATGTGCACAATGTGCAGGTTTGTTACATATGTATACATGTGCCATGTTGGTGTGCTGCACCCATTGACTCGTCATTTAGCATTAGGTATATCTCCTAATGCTATCCCTCCCCCCTACCCCCACCCCACAATAGTCCCCAGTGTGTGATGTTCCCCTTCCTGTGTCCATGTGTTCTCATTGTTCAATTCCCACCTATGAGTGAGAACATGCTGTGTCTGGTTTTTTGTCCTTGCGATAGTTTGCTGAGAATGATGGTTTCCGGCTTCATCCATGTCCCTACAAAGGACATGAACTCATCATTTTTTATGGCTGCATAGTATTCCATGGTGTATATGTGCCACATTTGCTCAGTCCAGTCTATCATTGTTGGACATTTGGGTTGGTTCCAAGTCTTTGCTATTGTGAATAGCGCCTCAATAAACATACGTGTGTATGTGTCTTTATAGCAGCATGATTTATAATCCTTTGGGTATATACCCAGTAATGGGATGGCTGGGTCAAATGGTATTTCTAGTTCTAGATCCCTGAGGGATCACCACACTGACTTCCACAATGGTTGAACTAGTTTACAGTCCCACCAACAGTGTAAAAGTGTTCCTATTTCTCCACATCCTCTCCAGCACCTGTTGTTTCCTGACTTTTTATTTATTATTATTATACTTTAAGTTTTAGGGTACATGTGCACAATGTGCAGGTTAGTTACAAATGTATACATGTGACATGCTGGTGTGCTGCACCCATTAACTCGTCATTTAGCATTAGGTATATCTCCTAATGCTATCCCTCACCCCTCCCCCAACCCCACAACAGTCCCCGGAGTGTGATGTTCCCCTTCCTGTGTCCATGTGTTCTCATTGTTCAATTCCCACCTATGACAGTATCAAATTCACACATAATATTACTAACTTTAAATGTAAATGGACTAAATGCTCCAATTAAAAGACACAGACTGACAAATTGGATAAAGAGTCAAGACCCATCAGTGTGCTGTATTCAGGAAACCCATCTCAAGTGCAGAGACACATGTAGGCTCAAAATAAAAGGATGGAGGAAGATCTACCAAGCAAATGGAAAACAAAAAAAGGCAGGGGTTGCAATCCTAGTCTCTGATAAAACAGACTTTAAACCAACAAATATCAAAAGAGACAAAGAAGGCCATTACATAATGGTCAAGGGATCAATTCAACAAGAAGAGCTAACTATCCTAAATATATATGCACCCAATACAGGAGCACCCAGATTCATAAATCAAGTCCTTAGAGACCTACAAAGAGACTTAGACTCCCACACAATAATAATGGGAGACTTTAACACCCCACTGTCAACATTAGACAGATCAACAAGACAGAAAGTTAACAAGGATATCCAGGAATTGAACTCAGCTCTGGATCAAGTGGACCTAATAGACATCTACAGAGATCTCCACCCCAAATCAAGAGAATATACATTCTTTTCAGCACCACACCACACCTATTCCAAAATTGACCACATAGTTGGAAGTAAGGCACTCCTCAGCAAATGTAAAAGAACAGAAATTATAACAAACTGTCTCTCAGACCACAGTGCAATCAAACTAGAACTCAGGATTAAAAAACTCACTCAAATCCGCTCAACTACATGGAAACTGAATAACCTGCTGCTGAATGACTACTGGGTAAATAATGAAATGAAGGCAGAAATAAAGATGTTCTTTGAAACCAACGAGAACAAAGACACAACATACCAGAATCTCTGGGACACATTCAAAGCAGTGTGTAGAGGGAAATTTATAGCACTAAATGCCCACAAGAGAAAGCAGGAAAGATCCAAAATTGACACCCTAACATCACAATTAAAAGAACTAAAGAAGCGAGAGCAAACACATTCAAAAGCTAGCAGAAGGCAAGAAATAACTAAGATCAGAGCAGAACTGAAGGAAATAGAGACACAAAAAATCCTTCAACAAATCAATGAATCCAAGAACTGGTTTTTTGAAAAGATCAACAAAATAGATAGACCGCTAGCAAGACTAATAAAGAAGAAAAGAGAGAAGAATCAAATAGACGCAATAAAAAATGATAAAAGGGATATCACCACTGATCCCACAGAAATACAAACTACCATCAGAGAATACTATAAACACCTCTACACAAATAAACTAGAAAATCTAGAAGAAATGGATAAATTCCTCGACACATACACCCTCCCAAGACTAAACCAGGAAGAAGTGGAATCTCTGAATATACCAATAACAGGCTCTGAAACTGAGGCAATAATTAATAGCTTACCAACCAAAAAAAGTCCAGGACCAGACAGATTCACAGCCAAATTCTACCAGAGGTACAAGGAGGAACTGGTACCATTCCTTCTGAAACTATTCCAATCAATAGAAAAAGAGGGAATCCTCCCTAACTCATTTTATGAGGCCAGCATCATCCTGATACCAAAGCCTGGCAGAGGCACAACAAAAAAAGAGAACTTTAGACCAATATCCCTGATGAACATCAATGCAAAAATCCTCAATAAAATACTGGCAAACTGAATCCAGCAGCACATCAAAAAGCTTATCCACCATGATCAAGTGGGCCTCATCCCTGGGATGCAAGGCTGGCTCAACATGTGCAAATCAATAAACGTAATCCAGCATATAAACAGAACCTACAAAGCTTTTATGTTATACCCAGACTACTTCTAACAAAGATTTTTAATTATGTCTCAAAAATAACCCAGGACTTAAAGACAAAAATACTGACTTCGTATTCCTACTTTACCTATAGGTCAAGTTGTTTCTTGAACTTTACTGCTCACTACGAAATTGAGGCTGATAATAAGAATATTGACCATATTATATGGTGGTTATGAAACCATAATGAAATAATACACGTGGCTACTTTGTATCTGGTAAATTACTATGCTGCACAGGATAGTAGTCGTCACCAAAGCAGTTGGAGTAGTTGTTTTACAGTAATATAGCGGTGGTGATAAAAAGATTTTAAGTAATTCTTAAAATAAAAATATAAAGCAAGACTAAAAACCCACACAGGGTTGAAGAGATCAAGGCTAATACTATATTTAGTTTAGTTCTGGCCTCCCTGGCAACCAAATTAAAAAAAAAAAAAAGTAAATGCTGAATCTCACTTATAAAATTCAAGTGAAGATAGGAAAACATTTTCTGATGCTAAGCTCCATGCAATTTACCTAGGTTTTTAAAATTAGAGTTAATGATTATACAACATAAAGGACAAGGTCTTCAACTATATTTTTCATAATATCCATAATTCTTATGAATACGTTTTATGATAATCCCTAACAAAAACTGATGTCAAACATGAAAACATTGCTTTTTAATAGCCTTTCTCTGATGACTAAACTGCTGAGATTTAGGAATATAATTTTCTGATGAAGATTGTCAGTTTTTTTTTTATTGAACTATTCTAGTACCTCAGAAGTGGGGCCAGCATGTTGCATGCATTATCCCTAATCTTTATGATTTCTTACAAGGTAGGATTATTGTTCCCTTTTACTACAGTTAGTAGGTGGTAAAACCATCATACCCTTGCCATTAAACAAGAGAATCTTAAACTTTTGACACATGGGTTAGTTTTATATGAATGACCAGTATGATCCTTAGCCTGTCTTTTTCAAATATTAATGACTTACAGTCAGGCTTTGGAGAGAAACTGGAGAAAAGGAAGTTCAAGGTTCAGTTCCCTGGTGAGTGTCCAGGGATCAGACACTCTCTTCTAATTAAATGGAGATTCTACAGCTTCTTTTTTGCTTCTATCTTACTCAACTTTGATCATTTGATGATATGAACTATAGTTTCTATTTTAGAAAGAAAATTTAAACAGTTATATTTAATAATATTATGTACACTTCTTTTGTTTCTTCAAAGTGATGATTTACCTCTCTGCATCCTCAAATGTTTTCCTTCTACACATACACACACCTGAAAAACTAAAGATATACTTTAGCTCCCAGGACTATTGGAAAGTGAGAGATAAAATAAGGGCAATTCAGCAGAGTTTATCAATCAAAATATAATTGGCCTACGTTTCTCCTCTTGTCATCCTGTAGATCTGTGAATCTGTTTTCTTACTCAGTAAGAGTGCTTCTTTCCTCCCTGCACACATCTCCAAGAAAGTGGGGGAAAGCCATGCTAACTATTTTTAACTGAGTATCCTGAGATGCTAACTCTCAAATGCAATGCAATGTATGCACAGTGAGTGTGCCCTTCTCCAAAGCTCTCTGAGTTTGTGTTTGTTAATTTTATTTTCTTGTTAAAGTTCTCATCCTCTACCGAAGGTTGATTATTTTCTTCCAGGAAGATCTATGTTAATTCAGCTCTGGTTGCAGCCTTTAAAAAAGCTTGACTTTCCTTTTGTGGAACGTACCCTGAGCTGGAAAAGGCTCCATTAAATAACAAGGAATACACAGCCATCTTCGCGTAAATGGTAGGAAGCAACCAAACTTTCCAATTATGGCCTCTTCCTCCTTAGAGTTTCTATAACTTGGATGTCTCTACTGAGCTGGGAAAATGAAGCCATCCATGTAAGACTTGACCCTTGCTGATTCACAGAGTTTCTTTGGAATTTTTAGGTGCTCTGTGATGGTTAATATTGAGTATCAACTTGATTGGATTGAAGGATGCAAAGTATTGTTCCTTTAGGTGTCTGTGAAGGTATTGCCAAAAGAGATGTACACTTGAGTCAGTGGAGTGGGAAAGGCAGGCCCACCCTCAGTCTGGGTGGGCACCATCTAACCATCTGCCAGTGTGGGTAGAATAAAAGCAGGCAGAGGAATGTGGACAGACTAGACTGGCAAAGTCTTCCAGCCTCCGTCTTTCCCCTGTGCTGGATGCTTCCTGCTCTCCAACATCAGACTCCAAGGTCTTCAGCTTTTGGACTTTTGGACCTACACCAGTGCTTTGCCAGGGGCTCTTGGGCCTTTGGCCACAGACTGAAGGCTGTACTGTCAGGTTCCCTACTTTTGAGGTTTTGGGTCTGAGACTGATCCACCACTGGCTTCCTTGCTCCTCAGCTTGCAGACGGCCTGTCGTGGGACTTCGTCTTGTGATCATATGCGTCAATACTTCCTAATAAACTCCCCTTCATATATATATATCTGCTATTAATTCTGTCCTTCTGGATAACCCTGACTAATACATGCCCTAATATATATTTTATATCTATGTGATTCGTGTGTTCTCCTTATGCATACTGCTTGTTTCAAGCTGTTTTTTTTTTTACTAATATCAACTAAGTTAAAAAGAATCCAATGCTGCTAACTCTCAGCTGACAACTTGATTCATTACATGTGTAGATCTGTATAGTATTTTTTAAGATTTTAGACTTTGATGTAAGCAGGACCAAGTGCAAAATGAAAATGAGATACTTTTTGCTCAAAAATTAGGAATTTTAACAAAGCAAAAGCAGAACATCAAACCAAGAACAAGGTCCTGTCAGCCTGCACAGGTTACATGTCTCTGCGCAAGCCCTGATGTCTCTCTTTGATTGTGTTTCCTAAAAGCAAAGCCTGAGGTTGGGAATCAAATTCAAGTGATTTATTAGAGGCACTGTCCTTTCGAAAGGGTATTTGAAGGAAACAAGTAGAGGGAAAAGCTAAGCAAAAATGTGGTCTCAGCTGAATACTAAGCTCTAGCTGATCTCACAGGGAAAGCTCTGGAGCAAAAATCTTTCAGAGTTAGTCAGATCTTGGGAAAAGAGGGCCAGAGTTACATTTACCTAATTATGGGTAATTCTTGAGATATGGGAGTAACACTCACAGCAGCTGTAAATCGGGTGAAAATGCTGGTAAAAGGGATCTGGGTCGGCAACAACATCTTCCACCACAGTCCCTCCCGTTAATTCTGTGATACTCACAAGTCTTGTAATCCAGTGTATCAATGTCAGACTAAAGCATGGTGCAACAAGAAATGTTACAGTTTGGCAATGCATGGATCATCATCCAGTAGGAACAGTGTAGGTTCTTATGCAAATTCAATTTCTTATAGAGTGGTTTTAAAAATCACATCACCCAATCCTCATTGTTGTTTTCTAGGAATTATCTCTAGAACTCAGATCATTTAAACTCTTCAAATAAATTAATAAGATTACATTTGACTGTTTGTTTCATTATAAAACACCTGAATCTACAAGATATATTAATGCTTTCTATCATACTTTATCAGCGTGAATCTCATTACAGCCTACTGGTATTTCTGAAATCACAAACGGCTTCCAAGAACACATCTCATCTCTGCACATCACCATTTTTTTTTTCAGGGTTATACCCCATGTCTGGGAACAACATTCAACCAATAAGGAAAGATTCATTACTAACTAAATTCTCCTATTTCCTAGCCCTCAAAGACATAATCCTGAAGCACATTATGTAGGGTTTCTCAGAAAGTGCCACAGGTACTAAACCCCATTTGCTATAGAATGACCAGTTCAACAACATACACTTTCCTAGCTTTCCCTTATTTTCCCTTTTATTTTCTTCTTTAGGTTGCCATTATCCAAAGAGCATATCTGTACTCAAGTCCTTGAATTAGGCTCTGCATTGGCAGAAATTAAATCGATCAGAAATAAAATGTATCTCTATGAGAGCAATGTTTACCTAAAGGTCATGTATAGTAAAATCTACCACATAAATATTTTCAAACCTTTAATATAAATTGATCATTTTCCCCCAACAAGTAGTCAGAATCAAAAGTGTGATCAAAGGAAGATTGATTTTAAAGGATCTATTGCAGTGATAAAATTTTCTGAACCTGGATAATGGTGATGGTTGTACAACTTGATAAATTACTTAAAATTATTGAAATATACAATGAAAGTAGATGAATCTTACGGAATATAAACTGGGTCTCAATAGAGTAGTTAAAATCAAAGTAAAAGCCCATGAAGGGGAATAGCAGTTCAAAAGCATATTAGATAAAGCATCAAAACAGAATGTCTCACTCAGTTTTTCCTCAGGACTCTTGATTTATTACAATAGGATTTCTTAAACTGAGATCAGAGGACGTCCGTGATCTTTAGACATTCTCTTATCCCAAAGTCTAATGTAATTAAGGTTTGGGAGACTTTCTTTGTTATCTCTGTCATTTGACCTGGGAAATCTAAAAGGAAAATGTCTCTATTTTGCCTTAAGTAGGCAGACACAATAGAATTCAGAAGTTCAACTATAGATAAGTGGTGACATTCTTTCCCTGAGTTATGGGAAAGGAAGTGACCAGATTCAGGGAGAGGCCTTAGTGCAAAACCAAAAAATTTCAGGCATGATTTGGGAACTAGAAAACCCTTTGTGAGAATTCTAAATTTTAACTGTCTGAAGACAGTTAAAACTGTCTGAAATTTCTGGCTCAATGTGATTTAAAGCATCAAATGGATTGGGTTTCAGACAAAAAAGTCATTCCAAATATGGGCATTTATGTACAGTATAATTTTATTGTACATAGAGTTTAATACATTTGCTTCATAATTAGATGATATTTTAGAAACAAACAGCACTAACTAGTTTAATCAAAATAAACTTTTCTATTTAGAGTAGGCAATTTTTCTCCTTAAACAGTTATTTGCTATGTAACTTAAGTTCGAAAGACACTATACTATGTGTGTTATAGGTTAATTATCACTATCTGCTATACCAAATCTCCAAATCGTAATGACTGTTTACACTAAAAAAAAAAGTTTCTCTACATGCAAAGAAAAGGTTAATATACTACCCAGGCCCAGTGACTTTAACATGAGTGATTATTCAGTGATACGGATTCCTTGGATTACTTTCTTGCCGTCTTCAACACATGGCTTTAAGATTCCCCTGATGTTATCATGCCAACTGATGAAGGGGAGAGAAATTAAGGAAGATCTTTGAAGATGTTTAAGTATTACGGACAAGAAATGACAAACATCTTTATAATGCAAATTCCATTGCTCTAAATTTAATTAGAAATATCTCTCTAACTGCAGAGGAAGCAAGAAAACATAGCTGAGATGTGTACCCAGGATAAAGATGAATAGATTTTTTAGTCCTTTTATATGTAGAATCCTCTCTACCAAATCCCATCAACTATTTCAGGCCATTCTGTGGTCCACTATCCCACTCAGAGAAAACCGCAAAAGTCCTAGAAGAACATCTTCAAAAGAGCATGGTACACTCTTCCTCCAAGCCACAGCTGATTGGACAAGATTGCACTTGGACCCCTGTTGAAGTTCCTAGAGATGCCTGGAATCTGCAATGGCCTTTTAGTAATTGTTCTGCAAAGTCTTGCTTAATGGAATTTTCTTACATGTTCATTTGGATGCAAGTCTTTATATTAAAACCACATAAGTTGTAGTAACTTAAATAAGTCCCCATTCCTTAAGAAAATCTCTAATTACAACACTCTACATTAGTCCTCATCTCTCCCTCTTAACAGTTCAGCTGTAATCATCATAAACATTTTAAGCTCAACACAGAAACTGATATCCTAGCTTTTATGTATTTTTCAATGCCAGAATCTTCTAAGGTCCTTGGACCAGAGATCAAGTTTAACTCACTTATCCTCTTCCTTGGAAATTGTACACATCACACACCTTTTTGTCTTTCTTTGTTTCTAATCCCTGTTCATTTGCTTCCATTTGAAAATCATCCCTCTGGTTCTTATCGTATAAATTATGGTACTTATTGTATCTATAGAAATCATCCTTTACCTCAAACCATTGCAAATCCATTTTATACACTGTTGATCTGATTCTAATCATGTCTCTACCAATTAAAAATGTGCAAATCATTATCTAGCACCCAACTAAAAGTGTTCATAGTAGTTCGTTTAGAATTAGTATTCCTTTATAATAAAGCTGTGGCCCATCTTTTCATTTTCATCCATTTTCAAATTAATTCTATATTCTCTATAAATTGATATATACTTCTGCTCATTGGCATCCTAATGCTATGGTTTTAATGTGTCCCCTCCAAAATTCAGGTGTCACAAATGTGATAATATTAACAGATGAGGACTTTAAGAGGTGATTAGGCCATAAGAACTCCTCTCTCATGAATGGCATTAAGGACCTTATAAAAGAGGCTTCAGTCAGCGTTCTTCTTTCTTGCCCATCTGACTTCCACCACATGAGGACACAGCTTCCTCCCTCCAGAGGACAAAACAATAGGATACCATCTTGGAAACAGAGAGTGGTCCTCACCAAACCACCATATCTGCCAGAGCTTTGATCTTAGACTTTCTGGCCTCCAGACCTGTGAAAAAATAAATTTATGTTCTTTATAAATTTCCCAGTCTCAGATATTTTTTATAACAGCAAAAACAAACCAAAGCACCTACTTTAAGTCAAAATTGTATATTGCTTTCTTTAAGATGATTTTCTTTATTCTGCTCCAGACAAATTTAATATATTGCTCCTTTTTGAAATGTATTGACCTGTTTTATATTTTTCAAAAAAAAATCATGTGTGTTATTGCTGTGAAGGTATTTGTGTACATAGTTAAATTTCCTTTAATTTAGCAATAATAATATTTTATTTGAATGATGCCATAAAACCAAAACAGATACTAAAAAATAGCTGCATATTATTTAATGTGTATTGAATGAATGAATTGACCCACTCTAATGATTAAGCAAATTATTTCAGAATAAGTAATATTGCTTTGCCAATAATTACTTGAAACACGTAATTCTCTTTTATGTATACCTTAATTAATGTCAACTTGGGATGTCATATTTTCTGTTCTTGAGATATAAACCTATAGCATTTATTTTATTTTTTTCGAGTTTCCCTCTTGTTGCCCAGGCTGGAGTGCAATGGCGTGATCTCGGGTCACTACAACCTCCCCTTCCCATGTTCAAGCTATTCTCCTGTCTGAGACTCTCGAGTAACTGGGATTACAGGTGCGTGCCACCATGCCCAGCTAATTTTTGTTTTTCTAGTAGACAGGTTTTCATCATATTGGTCAGGCTGGTCTTGAACTCCTGACCTCAGGTGATCTGTCCGCTTCGGCCTCCCAAAGTGTTGGGATTACAGGTGTGAGCCACGGCATCCAGACTTTTTGTTTGTTTGTTTGTTTGTTTGTTTTTGAGATGGAGTCTAGCTGTATCACCCAGGCTGGAGTGCAGTGGCACAATCTTGGCTCACTGAATCCTCCGTCTTCCAGGTTCAAGCAATTCTCCTGCCTCAGCCTCCTGAGTAGCTGGGGTTATGGCGTATACTACCACATCCGGCTAATTTTTTTGTATTTTTAGTAGAGACAGTGTTTCACCATGTTGGCCACACTGGTCTCAAACTTCTGACCTCAGGTGATCTGCCTGCCTTGGCCTCCCAAAGTACTGGGTTTACAGGCTTGAGCCACCATACCTGGCCAAACCTATAGCATCTTAAAATCTGTAATTTTTTTCTCTTTATCCTATTTATCTCAATCAAATCATTTTTGTTCTGACTCTTTCTTTACATTGTAAATTGAGCCAAATGACATTAATTATGGTTTACATATAATAGAAATAATCTAATGTATCAAATCTAAAAATTAATAAATGAGATAAGGCATTATCAAACTTCAGGGCCATCAATGTATATATCACTTACAGTGTTTAAGAATTATTTTCAAAAACTTCAATAAAGTCACTTTTCCTAATTATGTTATCTTTCTTCAGAGAATCAGCATTCATTTGTTATTATGTTTTGCTTATTAACTTGTATTTGTTTCATTTAATTACTTGTTTTACAACAGTATTTTCCTACTATGCTTCATTGCTAATGTGAATTACATTGGGGTCATGATACATTAAATAGTCTTTGATAGATGAACCTAAGAAATTGTTCCTCATATCTGATATTTTGTCCTAGAAGCAAAATGCATTATAAACTTCAAATAATTGCCTTATAAATGAATATAGGAATTAGCATATTTTTATGAGCAGAACTCTCATATTTTCACTGTCTTATTGGAATAATAATTTGATAAATGCTTACACACATACTGAAAATATTACTGTTTCTATTATGCAAGTAATCCTTACTTATATATATAAAAAAACACAAGATTTGGGTTTTTTTGCAGTATCATCTAAGCTTTGTGAAAGTGGTAATTATGTAAATGTGAAAAAACATTAATAGAAAGTATGTTATTTACACTTATCACATGGAAATTTAAACCTTCATATTTTCAACAAATGCAAAACAAACTCATATAAGCAAACAAAGAGAAATTTACTTCATAGTCCTAGATGCTTATAATTATGTAAATAACACCTCAGTAAAATAGCGTATTTATTCTTTATATCTTCAAAATGGCTTAAAAAGTGCTGAAAAATAAAAACACAAATGGATTAACTAATTAATAATAATATGAAATCAAGCCTAAAATTGTAACTTTTTAATTATCTTTGTAATCATAATGTCTTTTAAAAGGTTATTTACCAATTTTCTGATTTTGATAACATACTGTAGATATGAGAGGTGGTTTCATCAGGGGAAGAGGGATGACAGGTACACAGTTCCTCCCTATGATGTTTTTGCCTCTTCTTATAAATCTGTCAAAACAAAACTTTTTTTTAAGTAATTAAGAAAACCATTGCATTATTTGCCACAATTTTCTGTTATTAGTCAGTCGTTATTAAGTGAGTTTCTATGTGTACACCACATACAAGAGCTCCTGATTTGGGGCGTTCAAACAGGGACATAGATATTTTAATGAAATTAAAGAAAACGATTAGTTTGTAGCTTTTCTTTTCAGTTGACTTATTTCTATGCATAGTCTGCCTGGTTTTTTTCTTTCTTTTTCATTCTTTTTGAGATGGAGTCTCACTCTGTTGCCCAGGCTGGAGCTTCCTCCTTTGTAAAGCTGTATACGCAGACATCGTTTTGGACAGAGTTGATGATCTGTTGGAGAGCCATGCCAGGTTTGAAGGCAGAAATGCCATTTTCATTCATCCTGTCTTTCCTAGCCATGCTGCACATAATTCACTTCCTTCGTGTGAAGCAGAGGTTACATGCTGTGTAAGTGACAGGGGAAAGGACCCTTAGGGTGAATTATACCATATGTCTTCAGATGCCTTGGTACTCTTAAAAGAACACGTCTCCAGGTAGGATGTGAAGTATTTACTGTTTTATCTCAAATTCTACTAACATTACTAGACTTCACTTTTCACATTTTGGAGAACAGACATACTATTAATAGGTATATTGTAAGTAGGAATGAAAACACTCACGTTCACGTAGGTGAATAAAATTGAATATAAAATTGATTTATAGCGTGTAAGGCACCCTGTTGATCTTAGCAGCTTTAATCATGCATGACTTTCACAGGCCTCCCAGCAAGGGACTTAATTCTTGCTGCCATTGATTCCAGCTGATACTTAAATATTCAAATCATCACACTATAATGTATACATTTTAAAATAAATTTTTAAAAATATGAAAAATAAAAGAGCAGAAGAAATTAAAACTCAGTGTTGATTATTTAGGTTCTAATTTGGAAAAAAAAGCATAGCCCATTTGTTTTATAGTGATTGTTTCTATTTCGTGCTTGTCACATAAGAAATAATAATAGTTCTGGTCAGATGCCACACATTGTATCCTTAGAAAGAACACTTGTGTGCCTTTACCCTAATAATCTCACAAGTAGTTCATATTCAAAGTGAATGCCATATTCTAAAGTTACTATTAGGATGTCTAAGTAATCATTGTACTTACTATTATATTAATCTAAAAAACAGCTAAATGTTTAACATTGTGTCTGAAGACATTTACATATGAGTACACTCTACTTTTCAGAAATTTCAATGAATGATGTTTCTGCTGAATTCCCAGTAGTCATCCGGGTACACTTACACAGTGATGATGCTACTTTAGAGAAGGTATGCTAGCATGTTGGAATCTTTATCACTAAGCCCAACTGTAGAACTGACCAGGAAGAAAATAATGGAGAAATATATGACCTATTAATCTCTCCATATCTGAAATTCTGAAATGATCTCCATCTCTTTCTGTCTCTTACTCTGTCTCTACATCTCTGTCTCTTCCTTTTGTTTCTTTTGTGTTTTTTAGCCATCAGGAATAACTAAGTTTTATGCTTTAACTGTACCAATATTAGGGCACTTTTGGGAATATAGCAAATCCACTTTCATGATGAAATATGCCTTCAAAAGACTTTTTGCAAATTTTCCAGTAAAAGAAAAATCAAATTAAAGGAACTGATACATACCTCGTAAAGACTCTACTTAGAGTGGTTGTATGATACTGATTGATACACTCAGGAAACAGGAAACTGCCAATTCAGCTTCCCTTATTTGAGATGTTGAATGAATATGAGCTGGCTGCCTTCATAACAAACATATCACACTCACTATCTGCAGAAAATTCAAAATATAATCAACATCATGATCATAGTGTGTGTGTGTGTGTGTGTGTGTGTGTGTGTCCATGTGTGTGAATATGAATATCTACTCTACAAGAATCACTTTGGGGATCACATTCCTGGTTGTTATCCCTGCCCCAAGTTTTTTCTTTAATCTAAGTTCTAATAAATGTTGATACAATGCCTCTGCATGGGTGATTATATTTCCAAAATTTAAAGCCATATTGGCATAATGCATTTATTTTTGAAATAAATGAATACTATTAATTGCTAATGTTTAGTTCATATTCATAATAGGTGCCATGATATTATTGTAAAAATCTTTTATGCAGTAAGGATAGTAGATTATACCATAATCTTTTTGTAATTTACTTCATTAATAAGAAGAACTAATTACTAATCATTTGGTAGTTATTGTTTGTAGGCACTATCTAAGCATATTGTGTGTACTAGTTGTCTCAAACACCTAATGAAATTGGTACTCTTATGCTGTCCTAGAGATGAAGATCTGGAACCAAGTGATTTTGATCAAGTTTGTTTGATTGGTAAGGGATAGAGTGGGCTTTCATCTAGACAGGTGACTCCAGGATTCATGTACTAAATAAAAAAAATATTGCTGATAAATGTAATAATTGTATTAATTGCCCTTATGTCTAATATTTACTGAGAAATTATTATACAGAAGAATAATTGTTTAGAATCATGTGCAAATTTGCTCACTTTATCCTCACTGCAAATTGATGGATTAAGTTATACTCATTTTACAATTAGAATAATTGAGGATTAAAAAGATTATGTAATTTGTGCAAGCTCCTAATCCTCTTAAAAACACCTTTGCTCTACGGTTACAATGATATTTATCCATGCTCGGGCCACATGATTATATGGGAGCATTTTGTTATAATATGTATTATTGGAACATAATACTTACAGTTAATCAAAAATCAATTCATTAATTCAGCCCCCCATGTTGTATACAAACACTGAGAATAACTTTATGAATAAAGAACAATCCCTGATTCAGATGCATGTACATCATCTCAGTCACTCTCTTTTTTTAATTTTTTTTTTACAATTAGTACTAGATAGAAATAATGTGCTATAGAATCACAAAGGAAGGAGTAATTTTCTGCTAAAAAGATCAGATATTTTTCTTTAAGAGGCTAGAATTGATCTGGATTTCCAGTTTGGGGCATGGATGAGAAGACGGATTTAGCAATTCTAGGCAGTCCAAGCAACATGACGATGTGAGCATGGATCTGAGACTGACAGTACATAGTGTATTTGGATAATGAACATGAGGTTCCATGAGGTTACATTATACAGTGAGAGGTGTGTGGTTAGAATGAGACTAAAAAAGGCAGATGGGGGCCAAGCTGAGCACAACCTTTTAGCGATGACAGGCCAGTGTGAACGGTATGTGACAGGCAATAGTGAAACATTGAAAGCTTTTTCTTTCATTTTTAGAACGATTTTATTTAACAAATATGGAAGATAGTAATGCAATCCCAACTGTAATACTTCTGTCAGTCTTAGAGAGAAACTTAGTAACTTATGGGATCAGTGGGAAGGAAGAACAATATAAGCTAGAAGGAAATAAGATTGTTCTTAAAAACTCTTGGCGCAAAGAGGTAAGAGTAATTCACGAGAACTTCTTTTCGTTAGAATGTATTTATTTATATATTATTAAAGTTTGAGGATTATCACCCTGTCTTTTGTTTCATGCTGAATATTGATTTCAATTGACTTTGTGGCTGGGTGGAGTGGCTCACACCTATAGTCATAGTACTTTGGAAGGCCAAGGAGGGCAGATCACTTGAGCTCAGGAGTTTGAGATCAACATACACAATATGGTGAAACCCCTGTTTCCATAAAAGATACCAAAATTAGCCAGGCATGGAGGTGCATGCCTGTAGTCCCAGCTACTTGGGAGGCTGAGGCTGGGGGATCACATAAGCCTGGGAGGTCAAGGCAGCAGTGAGCCATGTTCATGCTGCTTCACTCTAGCATGAGTGGCAAAGAAAGGACCTGTCTCAAAAAAAAAAAAAAAACAAAAACAAAAACGAGAGAGAGATGATTTTGCTATGAATGGCTTGGAGTCCTCCAGCATCTACAGCAGTGCTATAGATATTCTAGATGTTCAATCAAGTTTAGTGATTGGCTAGAAGCCTGTATGCCAATCCTTCCCCTACTCATTGAGCCAGAAATACTCAATTACCTTAATTATTTGTCCCTAATTCCTGAAGAAATTGAGATGTACTATTGAAAACAATTTTTGTATTTGAAAAACATGATTTTCAAATTTGTGCCTTCTTTACTTAATGAAACTACAATATGCCCAAACGCATTTGTATGATATGAACTAATATAAGCAATTTTCAATGTCACCAGTCTATGACCCTCAGTACAATAATCTGTAGTCTCAGTTCTAGGGTCCAACTATGCAGTAATTTTTAAATCCTCCAGTGTAATGTTACTGTTTATAAGACGCCTACAATAAAGAACATTGCTTGATTTTTTGCTTGTGCTACTTTTCTTCTGATACCCCACTTAATTATTAATTTCAGTAACTTGTATTGGAAAGATTTGCATAAACTACTGTAAGTCCTCCAGTACACATATGAAGTCTGGTAAGATTAAATTGTGGTGAATATAATTTTTGTACTGGAAGAGTGGCTTCATTTACCTTTCTGTGCTTTAGTTTTTTTATGCTTTATAATATTCTAGAGAAACTATAAATGATTTATGAAAAATATTTTTTTCAGACTTGTTATTTATTCTTTTAGTGAAGTACTGGTGCTGAACTCTGTTTTTAAAATGAGTTACATTTATTTATTTATCTCTAAAATTTCTCTTAAGGTGAACATTTGTTGGAAAGATTGGTATGTCAGAACCTAAATACCAAATTAGATACATTTGATACACTTAATCTAAGACAGATGTTTGAACAACAGAAAATTTGTATCTATTTATACATGTGATCAGGGATACTATGTTAATCAATTTCGGTTTTCATAATAAAATACCAAAAAGTGGGTGGTTTATTGTATTAGCGCTCTCCAGAAAAACAGAGTCAACAGGAGACATATATATATATATATATATATATATATATGTACATATGTATATACATATATATATATACACACACACACATATATGTATTTATACATATATGGAAATTTATTATGGTAACTGGCTCATAGAGAGGCCAATAAGTCCCAAGATACACTATCTGCAAACTTGAGACACAGGAAAGCTTGTGGTGTAATGTGGTTTGAGCCCAAAGTCTGAGAACCAGGAGCCCCCATGTCCAAGGGCAGGATAAGAAAGACGTTCCACCCTAAGGGGAGAGAGGGAGAGAGAGAGGCAGAGAGAGAGAGAGACATTGAGAGAGAGAGAGAGAAGTAGCCATTCATCTGACTTTTTTTTGTTATCCAGGCCCTCAATTGATTTGATAACCCTATCCCCATTGGTGAGAGTGATCTTCTTTACTCAGTCTACTAATTCAGATCTTAATCTCTTCCAGAAACATCCTATAGACACAAGCAGAAATAATATTTTACCAGGTATCTGGCCATCCCTTATTCCAGTCAAGCTGATGCATAAAATTAACCATAACATTTATATATATGGAAATTTATTTCTCACAATTCCAGGGATGGAATTCTGGGATTAAGGTGCCAGCATGGTTGCACTGGTGAGGGTCGTCTTCTGGGTTGCAGACTACTGACTTCTTCTTGTTTCACATGATGAAGGGTAGAGAGAGCTTTCTGGGGTCTCTTTGACAAGGACACTAAAGTCATTAATGAGAGTTCTGCCTCCATGACCTAGTTCTCTCTCAAAGGCCCCATTTCCTACCCATTTCCTAATTCCAACACTTTGGGGGTTAGAGTTTCAAAATATTAATTTGTCAAGGATATGTTAATATATATTCAGTCCGTAATAGATAAATATTTAGTTCTTCTTTGTCTTGTTAAGGCCTAAAAAGTGGTAACTTATTCAAAGTATATTTAGAAAACATAACAATGGATTTGTAGGGTTTTTAAGTTAAGATCAACTTTTAAAGATAGCTAGTGTATTCCCAGATTTTATGGTTGAAAATACTGAGCAATGGTTTAGAGACAAGTTTGATTAGGACAATTTGTTATATTGGTATAGGCTTAGAAAAACAGTGCAGACCTTCCCAATAACAATAGCTCAATATTTTTTCTCTCTTAGCATATTCACTACTCCATAATTCCCCGAATGTAGACAATTTAATGCAGGAAATTGTGCCAAAGATTTTATAATAGCTGAAGGGGTGAGAATATACTCTAACATATTAAATAAAAATAAACGAAACATGCTTTTAACACAGGATCAATAATCTACTAATACTTTTTTCTGTTCAGAAACCCCTAATTAACACCTTCTGCACTTCTGTGGGATGCTGGCACTGCCACTGAAATGGCCTCATTGTCTGGAGAAACACCTGAGGTTCATTGTCTCATGGCCACAAAGAACAAGGACATATACACACAAAGAGTGATGTTGAAAGCAAAAGTTTAATAGGCGAAATTAAACTAAATTAAACATTCTAATTAAATTAGAAAGAGAATAGCTCTATGCGGCAGAGAGGGGTGCCAGGAAAATATGTTGACGGATTCATGGTGAAATGAACTGGGTTTTACAGATGAGCTGGTGAGGAGGCAGTGTCTTATTTACATAGGGTGTAAAAGACTGGTTGAACCAGGTGTACCATTTGCATAGGGCGCAAATCTCTGGTATCCCTCATCCTAATCTTTTTTTTTTTTTAATTTTGCAGGCGTGCAGGCAGGTTCTCTGCCTGAGCTGCTCCATGTTGGCCATTTCTTCGGTCCTGTACACGTGATAACAAAAAACGGGAAATGGAGCCTCCATGTTGGATTGTTGGATATGCCTGACCCCTGACCCCCAGGTAGCCATTTTTTTTTTTCTTTTCCTAGACTGAGTTTCGCTCTTGTTGCCCAGGCTGGAGCGCAGTGGCGCTATCTCGGCTCCCTGCAACCTCCGCCTCCTGGGTTCCAGCGATTCTCCCTCTCAGCCTCGCGAATAGCTGGGATTACAGGCGCACACCACCACGTCGGGCTAATTTTTTTGTATTTTTAGTAGAGACAGGGCTTCAGCATGTTGGTCAGGCTGGTCTAGAACTCCTGATCTGAGGTGATCCTCCCTCCTCGAGCTCCCAAAGTGCTGGGATTACAGGCGTGAGCCACCACGCCCGGCCGGTAGTCATTTTTTATTGGCATAGCTGCCGACAATCCTCCGTGCAAGCTCCTAGCTTGCTTACCTATGTGTGCAGCTCAATTTTTCAGGCTGCTGTTTAGGAAAGAAATGATTTGGAGGTCTGCATGTTGTCAGAAGTGAAGCTCTGCTGGGGACTCTTTTGCCTTTACTATCTGCCTAAATAATTTCTTTCTGTCTCCTGTATCACCATGAAAATAATGTAGCAGCTAAGTCTAGAACAGTTGAAGAAAAGATAAAACTGCTGTATGTGGAACAGGCACACTATGTTGACGATTGCTCTGCCAAAGCAACTATTAGTAACTTCACCACTTTTGGAACAAAAGCAGAATTGCCTCTTTATTCTTTTTTCTTCTAACCTTCCGATCATTAGCAGAAATATTTAGGAAGTCTGAGAAAAGTTTCGGCACACTGCCTCACCAATACAGAGGAGGGTAAAAAAGGGTAGATGAGTAGGACTTAGGGGCAATAGATGTATAGCTGCCTTAGGGTGTACTGGCCATGTTTGGCCGCCTAGCGTTCATACATACCCTTTTATATGCATTGAAACGTTCGCATCTCTACGTGCACCACCCCCCCACCCCCCCGCAGCAGCTTCATGCTTCTGCCGAATGTGATGCAACTATTCTTCATACAAAGATATTCACCATCTGCCCACAAAAGATGAACACAAAATTCCATACTTATTTTTTAACATATTTTTGCTCTATTTATCTCTGTTGGTTGTTGTTTCGTTAGGTTTTAATACTACTTAGAAAATCTGTAACCTAGAGATGACATTCTAAAGTTAGCCACAAACAGCATTCCCAATAGAAAATAAGAGGCATGAAATGGTTATATACAAATATATAATTCACAAGAAAAAAACATGCATATATGTTTATATCATCGTTGCTGTAACAGATCATGAGAACTTAATTGATATGCATTAATATCTCCACTGACCATGTACCTTTTTGCTTCAGCCAGCGCTTCAGCCATTTGAGTTTCTTCACCTCATAGGTGAAGAATTTGAATGGTTAGTGACCCTCACATTATCTAGTTGTCATCTATTGAAACAATGTTTTAAGAGAAACTCTCAGGTAATTCTACGAATTACATAGGGGCCTCCCTGTTGTCTTAGGTAGGAACAACCCAATTTTCCCTTGCTAATCAGAATCAGTTGCTCCAGTACTTATTTCATTTATCTGGAGTTTCAATGGGGTGAAGAGACTTAAATGGCCAGTAGCAGTCTTAACTTGCAGTCCAGGGAAACAAGTGTTCAAAACTCAAACTTGTAGAAATTTGGAATAATAGAGAGAAAAATCCATCCCACTAAATACTATTATCTCCTGGGCCAGTGTATTCTGGCTTGGGTGAAAGAGCAATATAAAGAAAAATAATAAATAAATAAACTTACTGTAGGGTGAGACCCTACCCATAAGAAGGTCTGCCAGCTCCTTTTGATAGAGCACATGATAAGACCAAATATTCTGCAGGTTGTAATTTTCTAATGCACTTCTGGCTATAAAATAAATTATTTAGTAAGAAGAAATGTAATTTTTCTGACTGTGATTATGAATAACAAATTTAATTAATTCACTGATAACAAAAAAAGAAACATTGCATGAAAGAAAGGCAAATTCATATCCCGAATTGCTGTTTATTAAGTTGAGGATCCCCTGATGCCCTTTCCTTGATAAAAAGTCTTCCATTGTAATCAGCTTACCATATAACTTTTTCTCCAGGTAATGGCACCATAGACATGGCTCAGTAACAGCCTCTGCTGTCAGTGGTTTTCGTACTCAACATTTCAGAAAACCAAATCAGCTCTGTTAAGGGGCCATATTGTAGGCTGTACATAAACACTACCTCTGCCACCCTAACTAATTTTTACATGGATTCATTGAACAGACACCGTGGTGCCTGATGAAAGACCCAAGAGAGTAAATGGACAAGAAGCCCATGTCATTATTGAGACCCTTCTCTGTAGTGGGTTTATTTGATGGGCACTTTTATGGACACAGAAGCCTCAGACTTCGTGCCCCCTTCCAGAGGTCCATCCATATTTCTATCAGAATTTTGTTATCAATCTTCCAAGCTTCCTTTTTTCAGTCCTTGACTATCTGGCAAAATTGTTGGATATTTCCCTTTAATCCATATATATATATATGTATATATATATAACTATCTCCACAATCATAAAATGGATAATCATATCCATTGCTTAGGCAATTTTGCCCACTGCGATGATTTTTGTTCTACACTATTTTTTTGAGGGCCACTGCAGTAAGAATATAATGCCACCGCATATGCACTTTTGGCTAGTGCCACCATAATGTGCAGAATTATCAATAAATCAGGCCAAAGCATTTTCTCCCTCAGCCAGCTAGTTAAAGTAGTAACTCTCAAATGTCTGGCAATTTGAAAGAAAGTTTGTATTACAGGAAGAATATTCACTATGGGAATCAGTCACTGGTTCCTGCAATTTATTTGTACATGCAGAATATACTAGTGTCTGATCTTGCTTATTCCTGTTCTATTTAAGGATAAGGTACTGCTGTATATACTTGCATAGCTTGGTGGATCATGACAGGTAGCTCAAATTACAAGGTCAGTTGGTTACATTTTGAGTCTGTTTCAGATTCTTGCAGCCAATCAAGGTCTGTTTCTCAAAGGAAAATAGTTGTTTGCAGAAGACAGTATAATTTTTTATCCCCAACATAGGCTCTTCACTGGCATTGTCCTAAGGAGATGGCGAGGGATGCTGTAGAGCATCTCTATGTCTCAGACACTTTGAGGACCATGATATGTGTGGGTCATAAGGGCGACCTGGCAGAACAGCTTGTTATGCTGCCTAGATCTGCTCTACAGCTGTTTTCATTCTCTAAGTACCCCAAATTTGATTAAAACATTATTACAGATTTTGGAACAGAATATGCCCTCTCTTAAGTTATAGCTCAGTGTTCTTTCTGCATTGCGCCCAGTCATCCAAGGGTGATATAACAAAATGATATAATTGTGTTAATTTATACAAATTTTGGGCATTCTCTTTTCTTTAGTAAGTTATTGAGTCAAACATTTAATGAACTATTCTGGGAGTTCTAAAATTTCAAAGAAGTATAATGTAGAGTATTATACACCCAGACAATATTTACATTCAATCTTTTATAATAGATAAATCAAGTATATGAATAACCAGAAAAGTAACTGAATGTGCTAAGTGAAATAGAAACAAGTTTCCTTTAATATTTTGACTATTCAGAAAAGAGAAGTAACTTGGGAAGACACAGAGAAATCTTTATGAAGGAACTTAGTATTTATCGTTTATGAACAATTTATCTTTTTCTCTTCCTTGCCAAACAGTAGAAAAAACAATATGCTATTCCTCTAGCAATCCTAATAATCCTACTGGTGTTAGTACTATATTTCATTCAGCTTAGGTATTGGCAGATATAAATAATTTGGAAATTTTGCAAAACAAGCTGTAATGATTCTGAACTTTAAAGGAAAATAGTAACTTAAATTTCTAAATGTATAGCTGAAATTCTTACAGAAAGTAGATCATTTTAGGGTGATTTTAACATGTTTATTTTTTACTTGTGCATGCAGTGTTAATTCTCAGATAACTTCCATTAATAATAATTAATGCAAAAGAAATTTTCCATTGTACAAACTCACTGTAAATCTTTAGACAAATGCCTTTTGTATATGGCCATTTTTTAGTGTAAACATCTTTTTATCCATTATAGGTAAGTTCGGTACATGGATTATATTAAAAACAATGCACGTAAAGAGAATTTTCTATATCTGTTTGTTTGATAATATCAAGAACTAAGGCCACCATAAAATTTTTCACATTGAAGTTCTAAAGGATTTTTTAAAAATTGTTGCTATTGTATTTTGTTTGTTTTCACTACATTAAGATGATAACATATCAAATGCAAAAGTAGATATTCTGTATATCATTAGGTTTCAAAAGGAAGCTGAGGGTGAAAGGAAGATGGAGAGAGAGAGTTGGTGGCTCAACAGCAATACATACTTACTGAACAAAGGCCTGTGGGGGGATACCAGCTAGTGCAGAAGCCCGCCCCCACTTACAGACTGGGGTAATTATAGGTCCAAGTGGGAGGGGTCTGGGCTTGTTGTGAAATGGGGCAGGCATTCGGGCTAGCTGCTGATAAGGGAAGGGTTTTCTTCAGTCAGGTGGTTAGACCTGGGACTTGTGTGGCAGGGTGTTTCTCATGGCCCGAACCTTAATGTAATTTTGCACTCTGACCAGGGTCTGCAAAATGGCAGGGGTTTACAAAATGGTGCAGCTTGGGCTAACATGTATAACATTTGAAAAGATTCTATATCCTCCCATTCAAAACTAACCATTTTAAACTAGTGCTATGTATTCTGGAAAATACAGAAACTCCAAATTTTAGTCAAATTTCCCTTTACTAGATATACTTACATAACACAGTAGATATTAGGCATTTATCCAATACATATGATGAATTTCAATAGCTTATAAAGTTAATAGGATAAATTTAGATAATTAATGCATTCAAGTATATCACATTTATGCTAATGTGGTATGTCTTAGCCCCTACATTATTACATTTGATAAGTTTACGTTTGCTTAAAGCTAGTATATGTCACTTACAACAGTGCATATACACACACATATATATTTTAAAGTCAGAATAATAAATTTAGAACTTATAGATTATCCCCATTGCATTAATTCTGGCGGTTCCAGTTTCTAAAGAGGTTTCCTCAGTTTTCACATGTTCACTTGACAATTCATAATTTAAAATTTTCCTTTCAGTAACAATGGCGAGGAGAATTAACAAGGTAGATATGCTTTTCATTTAATTAATTTTATGTTGGACAAAAGATAAATGGTGAATATTTAATTCTCTCATCCATTGTAAGTTGCTTAAAATAATAGCATTTCAAGTTAAGCTTAGAGACTGACCTACACAAAATGTTTTTATATAAAAGATGTGTTTTTATTTTACTAAATAGTATGCATAATCCTGAAAATTTATTTTAATTATTATTAACTTCATCTCTTGTTGAAGAGCAATTAAATTATATTAGTTAGTTTAGCTCATATAATATGGTTAAACCAATCAAAATACATCATTATATAAGAACTGATTTTAGAAGTAATTTCTTTTTATTGAATATATACATGAGTTATATTAAATTGTAAGAAAGTTAGTAATTCCAGGAAATGGGTTAGATGATGCATTAACTCAGCACCCTTAGAAACCTCCTTTAGTCTATATCTCTCTATACATATTCTTTGGTACTTTTATCTGTCCATCTATACTTTTTTTTTTTTTTTTTTTAAGGCAGAGTCTTGCTCTGTGCTCTGTCACCCAGGCTGGAGTGCAGTGGTGAAATCTCAGCTCACTGCAATCTCCGTCTCTTGAGTTCAAGCGATTCTCCTTCTTCAGCCTCCTGAGTAGCTGGGATTACAGGCATGTGGCATCATGCCTGGCTAATTTTTGTATTTTTAATACAGATGGGGTTTCGCCATGTTGGCCAGGCTGGTCTCGAACTCCTGACCTCAGTCAGATGATCCGCCCACCTCAGCCTCCCAAAGTGCTGGGATTACAGACGTGAGCCACCGCGCTTAGGCGATTTACAATTTTATCTGTTAAAATATTCTGATACCAATTGTGTTCATAGACTCCAGCTTCTTCATTTAAATAATTTACCTAGTGTGAGACAGACTAACAAGTATTCAAATGATAGTAAGGAGCTGAATACTGATTTAATTGGGAAATAAACTAAAAGTTCTCTTCAATTTTATTGCTTGCCTTACTTGTAACACTGCACTCATTGTTTTAATTTGTCTCATCAAGTTCAAGTAATGTGTCTTTGTCTATTTTTATTTATTTGTTTAGAGATGGGGTCACATTATATTGCCCAGACTGCTCTCAAAAACCTGGGCTAAAGCGATCGTCCTGCCTCTGCCTCACAAGTAGCTGTGACTGCAGATGTGCACTCCCATGCATAACTTGTGTTTTTGTTAAATCCAGAAGTGAAAATAGACAGATGGTGAATGAGCAGTAGGCTAAGAAAAAGTCCATTTTGACCTACATTAAAATAGTACTAAGCCACAATTTCTAATATGAAATATAATTGGAATTAATCTTTTCATGTCATCACAACTTATTTTATTTTTCAGTGTAAATGTGTTGCTTCTGATATATAATAAAACCGCAAAAGCAGTGAAGAAAGTATAAAAAATTGATTTATGCTTTTTATGTTTTCTTTCTTTTAAAGAGTTTCTTCCAGAAGGAGACACTTCAAAATGTAAAACTATCATATATTAAAAACTTCAACTTAAAAAGTATTCAGATACCACCCTATATCTTTCATATAAGTGCACTAAGGTCGAGAAAATTTAATTGATTTTCCCAGGATTACAGAGTTAGTGTAAAAAAGAATTGGAAATGAAACTCTTGGGATGAGAAGAATGCCTCTCCAACAGCATGTGTGAATAAAATGCATGTAAAATAGGTAAGGGAGAGAGGGAAGATCACAAGAAAGTTGTAGTAGGAAGATGCCTTTTTAGTGTTATTTCTTTGCCAGTTCTCTTAATAATTTGTGTAGTTTTGAAATTGGTAAACCAAAATTCATTGAGGTGACAAGGCAATGCAGTTGATTGCTAGTGTCGTGAAGCGATGCCGCAGAGTGATTAATTTCTGGATACAAAGGTTTGTTTCAAGTCATTTCATCTAGACGATATTTTTTCCACCTAAAGCTTCCACCACAGAGAGAGAACAGTCTAGTGTCTTGGTTATAATCATTTTATAAAGTAAGTAGTAAAACGAGAAAGGATTTTACATTTATTAAATCACTAATATGGGCCAGGCACAATGCTAAATGTCTTACATATTTTATTGTGCAAAACCACCTTTTATAAGTTCAACATTTCCCTTAAACTATGCCTCTACTCTTTGCTTTTCTTCATCATCAAACATCATTCTGTAGTTCTCGATTCATCATGTCCAAATCTGTTTTCAATCAACTTTAATCTTCCTTCGCTTACATGTATTGCATTAATAATAGTCTTCAGTTTCCAGTTCTGCACTTCTCAATGTTAATAATGGCATAAATATGGCTGAATAAAGCAACACATTTACTGTCTCACCTCATGTTATGCAACTTCCAGCTACTGTAGCCACATTTGGTTTATATTGTCAGTGGGAAAACACCCTCTTTGCCTACCATAATTTCATATTTTCTTGTTTTTTTTCCTCCAGTCATACGAGCCAATGTTATCTATACTCCATTGAGCATTTAAATATTAAAATGCTAGGGCCACTTCTTTATATACAGATTTTCCCTACAAGATACTAACTTTTCTCATTGCTTCAAACATCATCTAGATATCTCTTCTGAGATTGAGATACAGATATCAATATTTTTATTTATTTGTATTACAATCTCTAGATTGAGACCAAATCCATGTATTCTCCAAATATTTAACTTTATCCACCTCAATGTGCCTCCTGTCAACACTCTTGGCCTCACCAACATGATGTCACCTCTTAACCATCCTCTGTCTGAGATGGTGAAATAAAATCTCATACCTGGTCAGCCCCGCATCCATTCTTCTAACTGTTTCTCAGTGGAGTAAGATTATTCAATTTTAAATTAGATCATGTCCCTTTTTCCCCACCTGAACATCCATTGATCTTCAAATAAAGTGTAAGTTCCTTTCTAGGTCTAAAAATCTATAACTGGTCTCTCCATATCCACACCTTCTTTTACTACACTCAAGCTACACATGCCTTATTACAGCTTCTTAAACAAGTCACTTTTTTTCCTGCTCCTTGGATGATACTATTTATTCTGTTTGAAGAATTCTCTCTCCCCTTCCTTGTTCTTCTCGTGGTTTGCTCCTTCACACCCTTCAGAGTTAAATCCTCAGAAAACTATCTGGCTTCTGAAAGGCTACTTACTGCACATTAGTCCATGTGAAATAGATTTCCCCACGTAATTCTATTTCTTAGCAACCTGTTTATTTCTGTTTTACAATGCATTGATATTTCTAATTAATTTTTTGTCTTGTTCACTTTGTTGTTGTCTGCTGTCACACTGGATTTCAAGAAAGCAACTTACAAATAGTGGAAATATGTATTTGTTATTCATTCTAACATCCTCCACACCTATGTGAAAAACACACACTAAGTTAATCCCCAGTGAGTTACATTCTTCTATAATCTCTTTACCTAAGTTTCTGTAATTACCAACAGAACTTAAGACTTGTTTCTAAACAAGTCTTATCTAAAAATAGAAGAGGCAAAGATAATAGGATGTCACCTCCTTGATTACGCTGTGTTATGTAAGACTGTGTCTTAGAGGACTGCAGTGGGAGCTCCTCTTTCTGCTCTTGAGGAAGAAAACAGCCATGTTGCTAACTGCTTGTGGACAAGGCCATGATGTCGGGCAGTGTGAGAAACCTCTAGGCTCTAATGGTGATCTACACACTATAGCCCGTAAATTCTGGGCTTTTCCTTGCAGTTCCAAGGATATAAATTTGGCCAACTCCCTATATGAGCTTAGATGTGGATTATTCCATTATGGGGTGTCTAGATGAGAAGGCAGTCCAGCTGACATCTTCATTGTAGCCTTGTGAGACCCTGATTAGAGAACCTGCTTCACAGAAGGGGTAAAATAATGCGTTTGTGCTGTTTAAAGCTGCTAGTTTTGTGGTAATTTGTTATTCAGTGTGATGGTTAATATTGAGTGTCGATTGGAATGAAGAATGTAAAATATTGCTCCTGGGTGTGTCTGTGAGGGGGTTGCCAAAGGAGATTAACATTAGTCAGTGGACTGGGAAAGGCAGACCCACCCTCAATCTGGGTGGGCACCATCTAATCAGCTGCCGGTGTGGCTAGGATAAAAGCAGGCAGAGGAACGTGGAAAGAGGAGAGTGGCTGAGTATTCTGGCCTCCACCTTTCTCCCTTGTGGGATGCTTTCCACCCTCAAACATCAGACTCCAAGATCTTCAGCTTTCGAAATCTTGGACTTTCTTTCAATCACAGAGTGAATGCTGCACTGTTGGCTTCCCTACTTCTGAGATTTTGGGACTCGGACTGGCTTCTTTGCCTCTCAGCTTGAAGAAGGCCTATTATGGGGCCTCACCTGGTGATCCTGTGAGTCAATACTCCATAATAAACTCTCCTTTATTTATACATCTATACTATTAGTTCTGTCCCTCTAGAGAACGCTGATTAATACATGCAGCAACAGAAAATTAGTGCAATCTAAATTGCCCTTCAGAGGAAACTGACCAATATTTATGAAATATTCTATGCATTACCTCTAAATCTACTTAGAGTGAAAGGTTATGAATTGGTGTCCGTTGTTTGTTATTAACATATTGTTTCACATAAAGTGTTTTTATCCTATTAGCTAAAAATTGAATATCAGAGAGATAATCTTAACCCTTTTCTGGTACCATTTGCCACCAAATAAACATTTTGGGTGATATCATATCATTGCCAATAGTTTAAAATAAAATAACATTTGGTGATATCATACATTTGTCAAGTAATTAAAAAGCAAGTGAGAAAATAGATTTTAGGAGACTAAATTTCTGTGTTATTCATATATAGTGTAGTTGTTTCCAGGTATACTATAGAGTTGCTTTTCCAAAGGAAATCTGTTTTGCAATGTCTATGTGAATTGGCTAAGTTTTATTATGAATAAAATGTAGTATGTCTAGAAACATGAAATAATACTTGTTTCTTTATTCTTATTTCAAAATGAAGATTTTAAAAATTGAGGCCACCAAACATAAGTTAATGTAATAAATAGCTATTTGGTTAGTGTGTTTTCAATTTTCCACCTTCCAAAATTTTATGGACCTAGAATAAATTGTCAATTAAAAAGTAAGTTAAACAAAACATTTTAAAATAATTTTCAAAAAACTGTTTAAACAATATTAAAATCAGTAAACTGACTATCTAGTCAATAAAGTAAACCTTTCTCTCTCTAACATTAGCTGCTCTTAGATTGGAACACTCAAAATGAAAACCAGATTGCAAAACTGACATTTAGAACTCAGCTCAGCTACAACAAAGATATACAAAGTGAAACAGAAAATGAAAATGACTGAAGGGTAGTTTTTATTGATCTCAGAGAGTGTATTATATTGGCTGCTTCAGCCTTGAAATCTCCTATCAAAATTGATTGCATTAGTCTTGTTGTGGTCAAATAGACAAACTGGCCAAAGACTAAAAAAAAATCTCAACCAAAGGATTTATTTTCTCTTATGTGTATAAACTTCAATCTCAGTACAAGAGAAAGTATAGAAGGAACTTTGAATATGAAAATAGAAAAAAAAACCCTGCATATGTGTAAACTCAATTTTCAAAAAGCCTAAGAACACACACATAAAACAATTTGCTGTTATGATTAAGACATTGTTGTCATTAATATGGAAATAAGGCTATTGTTTTGTGTCATGCATGTCTGTTTGAAGAGACCACCAAACAGACTTTGTGTGAACAATAAAGCTTTTTAATCACCTGGGTGCAGGTGGGCTGAGTCCAAACAGAGAGTCAGCGAAGGGAGATAGGGGTGGGGCTGTTTTATGGGATTTGAGTGGGTAGTGGAAAATTACAGTCAAAGGGGATTGTTCTCTGGCAGGCAGGGGCAGGGGTCACAAGGTCGTCAGTGGGGGAGCTTCTGAGCCAGGAGAAGGAATTTCACAAGGTAATGCCATCAGTTAAGGCAGGAACCGGCCATTTTCACTTCTTTTGTGATTCTTCAGTTACTTCAGGCCATCTGGATGTATATGTGCAGGCTTGGGCTCAGAAGCCTGACATTCCTGTCTTCTTATAATAATAAGAAAAATAACATAAAATAGTATTGAAGTATTGAGGCAGCAAAAATTTTTGGGGGGAGGTATGGAGAGATAAAGGGAGATGTTTCTCAGGACTGCTTCAAGCGGGATTAGGGGCAGCCTGGGAACCTACAGTGGGACAGATTAAGCTGAAGGAAGACTTTGTGGTAAGGGGCAATGTTGTGGGGTTGTTAGAAAGAACATTTGTCATATAGAATGACTGGTGATGGCGTGGATGTGGTTTTGTATGAATTGAAAAACTAAACGGAAGACACAAATTCTGAATAAGAGAAGGAGAAAAACAGGTATTAAAGGACTAAGAATTGGGAGGACCCAGGACATCCAATTAGAGAGTGCCCAAGGGGGTTCAGTGTAATTACCTGCTTGGTTGGCAAGTTTTTGGGCTCTATCATTGAGTTTTTTTATGTTGTCATATACCAGGCCAGACTGATTTAGGTAAAAACAACACTCTTCATTTAAAAATATACAGAGTGCCTTTTTTTTTTTAGCAGTGAGTAAGTCGAGGCCTCCGTGATTTTGGAGGAAAGAGAAATGCAAAGCCAGCAATTGTTTGTTAAAGAAGGATTAGAAATGGCTAGCAGAGAGTGACTGAGATTGATAGTGTGGTGGAGATAGCTGGGGAGAGGTAGAGGGTGGCATAAGAATAGGAACGAGAATAAGAGTGAGTATAAAAGTAAAGAATAAGACTTCATGAAGGTGAAAGTATTGGAGTGTACTCTGTCAGCAAAGATCATCTATCCACTTTAAGAGAGACTTAAGGGTTTTGAGGTAAAACCAGGAGATATCAGTTATGATGGTTTGAAGGAAAAGTGTAAACAAGGGTAGGGTATTTACTAGTAGTTGAGAATGGCGAATAGGAGTATGACTAGACAGAAGATAGTAGGGGTGACAAGTTTTGGGGTGCAGTTCAAGTTGGGCTGGTGTCTGGAATGAGACTGGGGCCTAATAAAAAGGAGCATCCATACAGGAGCTCAAATGGGCTGTACCCTGTAGCATCCCGAGGACAGGCCTGAATTCTGAGAAGGGCAAGTGGTAAAAGTATTGTCCAGTCTTTAAATTGGAGGCTGAGCTTGGTGAGGTATGTTTTTAAAAGACCATTAGTCCATTTTACCTTTCCTGAAGATTGAGGATGGTAAGGGGTATGAAGTTTCCACTGAATACCAAGAGCCTGAGAAACTGCTTGGGTGATTTGACTAATAAAGGCCGGTCCATTATTGGACTATATAGAGGTGGGAAGGCCAAACCGAGGAATTATGTCTGATTGAAAGGAAGAAATGACCACGATGGGCTTCTCAGACCCTGTGGGAAAGCCTCTACCCATCCAGTGAAAGTGTCTTCCCAGACCAAGTGGTATTTTAGTTTCCTGACTTGGGGCATGTGAGTAAAGTCAATTTGCCAGTCCTGGGCAGGGGCAAATCCCTGAGCTTGATGTGTAGGAAAGGGAGGGGGCCTGAACACTCCCTGAGGAGTAGTAGAATAGCAGATGGAACCCTGAGAAGTGTTTTCCTTAAGGATAGATTTCCATGATGGAAAGGAAATGAGAGGTTCTAAGAGATGGGCTAGAGGCTTGTGACCTACATGGAAGAGGTTATGAAATGATGACAGAATAGAATGGGCCTGTGAGGCTGGAAAGAGATATTTCCCTTTGTCTAAGAACCATTTGCCTTGTGTGGGAAGAGATTGATAGGGTGATGTTTCAGTGGGGGAGTAGGTGGGACTGACTGATGAGAAGGAGAAAAATTGGCCATAAGGGACCAAAGTTGGAATGCTAACTGCTTCTTTAGCTACCTTATTAGCATAAGCATTGCCCTGAGTGATGGGATCTGATACCTTTTGATGGCCCTTGCAGTGAATGACTCCAGCTTCCTTTGGAAGTAAAGCAGCCTTGAGGTGAGTTTTTATTAAAGAGGCATTAATGATGGAAGACCCTTGTGTAGTGAGCAAACCTCTTCCTGCCCATATAACAGCATGGTGGTGCAGGGTATGGAAGGCATATTTAGAGTCACTATAAATATTGATGCGTAGTCCCGTTGCAAGAGTGAGGGCCTGAGTTAAGGCAATGAGTTCGGCTTGCTGAGAGGTAGTGGAGGGGGGCAGAGCAGTAGTGTTAACGATAGATGTGGAAGATACTATAGCATAGCCTGCCTTTGCTGGTGAGTGGCGATTAGGCCTGGTGGAACTGCCATGAATAAACCAAGTGTGATCAGGGTGAGGAACAGAAAAGAAGGAAATATGGGGAAATTGCAAATGCCAGGTGGATTAGAAAGATACAGCCATGGGGGTCAGGTGTGGTATCAGGAATAATGTGGGGCTAACTTAAAACAGTAAGGTCAAATTGTTTGGACAGAAAGGCTACAGGGTGTGGTCCCAGCTCTTGTGTAAGAATTTTGACTGCACAGCCCTGTACTTTGGCTGTGTGTAATGAAAAGGGTTGGGATGAGTTAGGGAGAGCTAGTGTGGGAGCAGATTTTATGGCTGTTTTTGAGGAATGGAAAGAGGAGTGGTGGAAGGATTTAGGATCTATGGGGTCAGCTAGGTTTGCTTTTGTGAGTTTATATAATGGTTTAGTCAGGATGGTAAAGCTAGGTATTTAAAGGCAGAAGTATCTAACCATGCCTAGGAAGGAAAGGAGTTGTTGTTTCATAGAAGGGGTTGGGCTTTGGGAGATTAGCCAGACATGATTAGCAGGAAGAGCACATGTGTTTTCATGAAGAATTATGCCGAGATAGGTAATGGATGAGGAAGAAATTTGGGCTTGACTGAAGTAATGGGGGCTGTCTGCAAAGCCTTGCGGCAGTACAGCCTAGGTAATTTGCTGAGCCTGATGGGTGTCAGGGTCAGTCCAAGTGAAAGCAAAGAGAGGCTGGGATGAAGGGTGCAAAGGAATAGTAAAGAAAGCATGTAAGAGGTCCAGAACAGAATAATGGGTTGTGGAGGGAGGTATTGAGGATAGGAGAGTGTACGGTTTGGGCACCACAGGGTGAATAGGCAAAACAATTTGGTTGATAAGGCGCAGATCCTGAACTAACCTGTAAGACTTGTCCAGTGTTTGGACAGGTAAAATGGGGGAAATGTAGGGAGAGTTTATAAGTTTTAGAAGCCCATGCTGTAGCAGGCTAGTGATAACAGGCTTCAATCACCTTAAAGCTTGTTGTGGGATGGGATACTGGTGTTGAGTGGGGTAAGCATGATTAGGTTTTAATGGGATAGTAATGGGCATGTGATCAGTTGCCAGGGAGGGAGTAGAGGTGTCCCATACTTGTGGGTTAAGGTGGGGGGATATGAGAGGAAGACACGAAGGAGGCTTTGGGTTGGGAAGAAGGGCAACAATGAGGTGTGGCTGTAGTCCAGGAATAGTCAGGGAAGCAGATAATTTGATTAAAATGCCTAGACCTAACGAGGGAGCTGGGCAGGTGGGGATAACTAAAAAGGAGTGCATAAAAGAATATTGTCCAAGTTGGCACCAGAGTTGGGGAGTTTTAAGAGGTTTAGAAGCCTGGCTGTCAATACCCACAACAGTTATGGAAGCAAGGGAAACATGCCCTTGAAAAGAAGGTAATGTGGAGTGGGTAGCCTCCATATTGGTTAAGAAGGGGACAGACTTACCCTCCACTGTGAGAGTTACCAAAAGTGTCTGTGATGATCCAGGAGGCTTCCGAGGCGATCGGGCAGCATCCGTCATTAGTCATTAAGCCAAGAAGATCTGGAAAGGAGTCACTCAGAGAGCCCTGGGCCAGAGTTCCAGGGGCTCTGGGAGTGGTTGCCAGCTGAGTTGGACAGTCTGATTTCCAGTGGGGTCCCGCACAGATGGGACACGACTTAGGAGGAATCCCAGGCTGCAGGCATTCCTTGGCCCAGTGGCCAGATTTCCAGCACTTGAAGCAAGATCCTTTGGGTGGGGAGGTCCTGAAGGAATGCCTGACTGCTGTAGCTTAGGTGTTTTGAAGTTCTTGTGTGCAGGAGGTGCGGCTGGGTTTTGTCTCACAGCAGAAGCAAGTAATTGTAACTCTTCTCTATTATTGTGCATCTTGAAGGTGAGGTTAATTAAGTCCTGTTATGGGGTTTGAGGGCCAGAATCTAATTTTTGGAACTTTATTTAATGTTGGGAGCATTATTAATATGCATTAATAAAATGCATATTGAGAATAAGATGGCCTTCTCACCCTTCAGGGTCTAGGGCTTAAAGCGTCTCAGGGTTGCTGCCAAATGAGCCATGAACTGGGCTGGGTTTTTATATTTGATGAAAAAGAGCCTAAATGCTAACTGATTTGGGAGAGGTTGGATAAAGGAAAAGGAGCATTAACTTTGACTATGCCTTTAGCTCCAGCCACCACTTTAAGAGGAAATTTTTGGGCTGGTGAGGGAGGGCTAGTTGCAGAATGAAACGTTAAGCCGGACCACGTGTGAGGAGGGGATGTGATGAAGGATTATAGGGTCGGGGAGCAGAGGCTGAGGAAGAATTGGAGCCTGATTCAGCCTGGTGGGGAGTGACCTGAGGAGCAGTCTGGGGAGGAGGGGAGAGGTCAGATGGGTCAGCAGAAAAGGAAGATTGAAAAGACTCAGCAATGTTTGGTGTTGGGACTGAAGGGACAGGCAGGAGGCAAAGAAGGAAGATTTGGAATGAGTTGCATTGGGAACAGAGACTAGGGATGAACTGATGTCTAAAAGAATGCCTGGACGTCAGGCACCTCAGACCGTTTGCCCATTTTACAACAAAAATTATCTAGATATTGTAGGATGGAGAAATAGAAAGTGCCATTTTCTGGCTATTAGGAACCATTGTCGAGTTTGTATTGGGGTCAAGCGGTATTGCAGAAGAAAATAAGGTGTTTAGGTTTTAGGTCAGGTGTGAATTGAAGAGGTTTTAAGTTCTTGAGAACACAGGCTAAGGGAGAAGAAGGAGGAAGTGACCTCTGAATTTTGAAAACTGTGTAATTTATTTCGTAAACAATTATTTTGTAGCACTCAGCTTATCCCTAACATTTACCTATAAATTTTCTTTTCTTTGCACTAGCTCTGTCTCCTCAATTTGGTTGTAAATTTTCTATAAACACGAACCAAATCTTCATGTGCAATTGCCATAGAATCTGAAATCTGATGAAACATTTCTCTAGAGGCCTGAGCGTACTTTCATAGTAACTACACATCTCAAACTTCAGGAGGTGAACATACACAGAGAATAACACAGCATTTTACTAAGTGCAAATTGGCACCATCAATGTGGTTAAACATATTCACTCTCTTCTTCAGCTTACTATCTTCTTCCTCCCCATGATCCACAATCACCACTCATGCCATGTACCTTGCAGAATAAATATTTCAATGCACAATTTACCTTTCTTATATGCGATTGGTTTCTTATGCATCTATTTCAGTGAGCCATTGGTTACCCAGATTAAATATCATTTCTGGGTATGCCTGTGAGGAGGTTTCCAGATGAAATTAGTAATTTAATCAGTGGGTTTAATAAAATAGATTGCCTTCCCCAATGTGGTTGGTCATTACCTAATCCTTTCAGAGTCTGAATAGAATAAAAAGTCACAGGAAGAAGGAATTTGCCTTTTTTTGTTTCCTTCCTGCCTGTTTATTTGAGAAAAATACATCAATATTTTGCTGCCTTTGCACTGAGTTTATGCCATCATCTCCCCTGGTCATCAGGCATTTGGATTCAGACTGAAATTACAACACCTACTTTCCTGCCTCTAGCCTGTAGATGGCAGTTCTTGGGACATCTCAGCCTCCATAATCAAGTGAGCTAAAGCCTCATACTAAATCATTCTCTCTCTCTCTTTCTTTCTTCTTTTGGGGAGCAAAGAAGATGGCCAACTAAATGCAGCTGAAAAGCACCTCTCCCACCAAGAGAAACCAAGTATCAAGTAAACCATCATACTTCAAACAGATCTTTTGAGCGAAAATAAAGTCAATATAGAGGTAATGCAGACATTCCCCGAAACCTGCTCTGACTCTGCCCAGCTTAGAGGACCAGCAGGTTCCTGAGGAGGTGTGGTTTCCCTATTGACCTAACCTTCAGCTCCGGATGGCTCTAGGGGAGTGGAAAGTGCAGTGCACAAGAGTCTGCGTTAGGGCTCAGGAAACACAGGCATAGCACTAGTGATTGGAGGGGGCTCCCCCAAGGCCCAGAAAGAGACCTGGTGAGGGAGTTATCTCTTGCCCCGCTATCTCCCACTCCCCAGGACACTGCTGAATGTACTCTGAAATACAAGACACACAATGCTGATTAAAAGCCTATTTGCCAGCCCTTAATCTTAAGCACCATCTACTGTATCATAGCCTGAATTACCTCACCAAACAAAACTGAATTCCTTTAGCCCTCAATACTTGTGAAACCTAATGCAGGAAACTAGCCACAGCTCGGAAATTATACAGAGCCTTCACCCTCTGAAAGTACTCAGAAATGAAGCCAATCAACTTTACACAACACACCCCCATCAAATGCCCAAAAGAAAAAAACAAATTGAAGCCAAAAAAACCATCCAAACAGTCATTTCCAAAAGAAACAGAAACAGGAGTCCCTCAAATGAGAAGAAATCAGTGCAAGAATTCCAGACATTCATAAAGTCAGAGTAGTTCTATACCTCTAAAGGAGCACACTAGCTTCCCAGAAACGGATGCTAACCAGAGTGAAATGTCTGAAAAGACAGACACAGAATTCAGGATCTGGAAGAGAAGTTCATAGATATTTAAGAGAAAATTGAAATCCAATCCAAGGAAGACAATAAAATGATTTAAGAGTTGAAAGATGACAAAGCCACTTTAAGAAGGAACCACACTGAACATCTGGGTTTAAAAAATTTACTACAGGAATTTCAAAATACAAATGGAAGCCTTAACAACAGAATAGACAAAGCTGAAGAAATAATATAAGACTAGTCCTTCGAATCAGCCCAGTCAGATAAAAATAAAGAAAAAACGATTTAAAGCATGAGCAAAGCCTTTGAGAAATATGAGATTTTGTAAAAAGACCAAACTTATACATCACTGGAATTCCTAAGATATAAGAAGAGAGAGTAAGCAACTTGGAAAACATATTGGAAGATATAACCCATGAAAATTTCCTTATTCTTGCTAGAAAGGTCATCATGCAAATGCAGGAAATTTAGAGAACCCCTCCAAGATACTACACAAGACAACCATTCCCAAGACACACGGCCACCAGACATTACAAGGTCTATGTGAAATAAAAAATATCTTAAAGCCAGCTATAGATCACTTACAAAGGGAAGCTCATCAGGCTAACATCACACTTCTCAGCAGACATCTTATAAGCAAGAAGAATGTAGAGGCTATTTCCAGCATTCTTAAAGAAAAGAAATTCCAACCTAGAATTCCTATCCCACCAAACTAAGCTTTATAAGCAAAGTAAAAATAACATCCTTCCCAGACAAGCAATTGCTAAGGACATTTATTTTGACTAGACTGACCTTACAAGAGATATTTATGGGAGTTATTAAATTTTAAACAAATCTACTCTGACAAAAACACACTTACGTACATAGCCCACATTCCTATAAACTACACAATCAAGACGTCAAAGCAACCAGCTAACGACAGCACAACAGGATCAAAACCTCACATATCAATATTAAACTAGAATGTAAATGGTCTTAATGTACCACTTAAAAGGCAAAGAGCAGCAAGCTAAATAAAAAATAATAAGACCCAACTGGCTGCTGTCTTCAAGAGATCTATATCACATGTAATAACTCCCATTAGCTCAAAGTAAAGAGATAAAGAAAGATCCATCATACGAATGGAAAACATAAAAGAACAGGAGTTACTATTCTTACATCAGATCAAACAGGCTTTAAATCAATGACAGTAAAAAAGAACAAAGAAGGGCATTACATAATGATAAAGGGTTCAATTCAACAAGAAGACTCAACTATCCTTAATATACATACATCCAACATTGGAACACTCAGATTCATAAAACAGGTACTTCTAGACCAACAAAAACACTCAGACAGCCATACAGTAATAGTGGGAAACTTCAACACCTCACTGATAGCATTAGACAAATCAAGGCAGAGAATGGGCAAATAAATTCTAGACTTAAATTTGATACATGATCAATAACACCTAATATACATCTACAAAATACTTCACCCAACAACCACACAATATACATTTTTCTCATCTGCACATGTATCATACTCTAAGTTTGAACAGGTTTGGCCATAAAGTGAGCCTCAATAAATTTAAAAAAATCAAAATTATACCATTCATATTTTCAGACAGTAGTGGAATAAAAACAGAAATCAATACCAAGAAGGTCTCTCAAAACCACACAATTACATGGAAACTAAACATCTTGCTCCTGAATGGTTTTGAGGTAAAAAACAAAATTAAGGCAAAAATTAAAAAAAAAGCTAACATAATTAATAAAGACAGACCATATTAAAATCTCTGGGATGTAGCTAAATCAGTGTTAAAAGGAAAGTTTTCAGTGCTAAAAACACCTACATCAAGAATTTAGAAAGATCTCAAATTAACAATCTAACACAGCACCAAGAGGATTTAGAAAAATAAGAACAAACTAACCCTAAAGCTAGAGGACAAAAATAAATAAATAAATCAGAGTCGACTGAAGGAAACTCAGACCCCAAAAGACATATGAAGGATCGAAGAACCCAAAACTTGGTACAATGAAAGGATAAAGAAGGTCAATAGACCACTAAGTAGATTAGCCAAGAAAAAGAGAGAAAATTCAAATAAGCAAAGTCAGAAGTGATAAAGGTGACGTGACAACCAAACCCAGAGAAGTGCAAAAGATCCTCAAAGACTATTATGAACACTTCTATGCATACAAACTAGAAAAATCTAGTGGAAACTGATGAATTCCTAGAAAAAGAAAACTTCCCTAGATTGAGTCAGGAGAAACTGAAATCCTGAACAGACCAAAAACTAGTTCTAAAATTGACTCAGTAATAAAACTTCTACCAACTAAAAAAAAAAACCCTAGACCACATGAATTCACAGCTAAATTGTACCAGATATACAAAGAAGAGCTATTAGTAAACCTACTGAAACTATTCCAAAAAAAAAAAAAATTGAGAAGGAGGGACTTCTCCCAAACTCCTTCTATGAAGTCGGCATCATTCTCCTACCAAAATCTGGTGAAGACACAAGAAAAGAAAACTACAGGACAATATGCCTGATGAACAGAGATGCAAAAATCCTCAAAAAATTACTAGCAAACTGAATTTAGCAGCAAATCAAAAATTTAATTCACCATGTAAGCTTCACTCTTGGAATGTCAGGTTGATTTAACATATGCAAATCAATAAACAGATATATATATATTTTTTTATATACAGAGATGCCAATGCACTAGCTATTTTAACATCAGCAGATATTTAATTATTTAGTTTGCCAAATAGCTATTTTGATAGTATGGAAGACATGTTATTTTGTTTCTAAAAAACATAAAACAAATAAAAATAGCTCAAGAAAATTGTATTTATTTTGAGGACACTTGATATACTGAATCCAATAAAGAGTTGACAAATCACTCCCAAGGAAATAATTATCACATACTGTTCTAGGTAATTAATTTAAGACCTTTGAAGAATGTCCTTCTTTAATCTCTATCATTCATATAGTTTGTCTTAATCACAATAATTAAAATTATTTTAAATTGCCATGTGAGAGAACTCAATTCACCCATATTGAGCCAGTTTTCTTTCTTTACTCCAATTATTGTGGTCAAAAATTCAATTAACCAGCCGGACGCAGTGGCTCACGCCTGTAATCCCAGCACTTTGGGAGGCCAAGGCAGGAGGATCACGAGGTCAGGAGATTGAGACCATCCTGGCTAACATGGTGAAACTCCGTCTCTACTGAAAATACAAAAAATTAGCCAGGTGTGGTGGCAGGCACCTTTAGTCCCAGCTACTCAGGAGGCTGAAGCAGCAGAATGGCGTGAACTCGGGAGGCAGAGCTTGCAGTGAGCCAAGATCGCGCCACTGCACTCCAGCCTGGGCGACAGAGTGAGACTTTGTCTCAAGAAAAAAAAAAATTCAATCTAACCTTACTTGAATTTCACGATGTTCTATGATGGCAAAGATTTAACAATACTGTAGAAAAACTAAGATACCGATGGTTAAGTTATTAAAGATTTCCTCATGGGATTTTTTTCCAGACCACAAACATACTATAAAACACAGTAAAGATAAATACTTTCATAAAAGGAAGGCAGGAAGAAATGGAAAGAAAAATTGGCAAAGCATAATATTTAAAATACGCTTGTGAAAAGTTTTATAATTTTTAGCATAAAGCTTATTATTAGATTAAATAAAACAATGAATTTGTGAAAATATATTTAATAATCTAATAATGTAAGAAGCATAAAATCAACTTCTTCTAAAAATATGTTTTCTAAACTATTACCAGAGTGATCTTGATAAAGTCTTAGAAGTATAAATGCCTTTTGTGATTACAATATTTCAGTGCCTTCCTGCAGCTCTAAAAGTGTGAAAGATGAACTCATCTCCAGAGACAGAGGGATATTTTATGTTTTGGAATTTCCTGTCTTCTCTAGCTTCATCTGTCATTACCATGCCCTGTGTACTTCATACCACAGCCATTGTAAACATATTTGTCAAATAAAAAATAAACAATATATTTTAATAATGTTTTAATAAAAATATTCAGAAAGTTTTTCATTGACCTCATATTATAATTTTTCTGTGTTTGTTTCTCTCATTTGAACCCAGATATAGGCTCTAGAGGACTTTCATGGAATCCTCATTGCTAATCCTCACCAGTATTATAATGGTCATAATTGAAAAGGATTCTACATGATAAGCAAGGGTTCAGAAAGTGAATGCTGTCATCATTCTTTTTACTCCCATACATGCTCATATATACTAATGTAGGACTTTAGGAAATGCTACCCCAAAATATACTGCTTTGGTATATTGATTACTTCAAGCTGATGCCATTTGAATAAGAGCAAATGCAGGGAGAGGATATCTCTGAACTCCCCTTCTCTACTTAGAGACAGATCCTCCAAAAGAAACTCAACTGTCATCAATCTTCTCCCCAAAAGTTACATCAACTAAGGAAGATTAACTCTTCAAATCACAGGAGAAGAGACTAGCACCCAAACTTTGAGAGAAACTATCATTTCTTCTTTTAAGGGTTTTTTCATCTTTCCTAAAAATAATTTCCCCTCCCCTAAATTCCCTACATGCTCCCTCCCCTTTCCACTATGAAGAGGGCATATGAACTCCTAAGTCTTACTTTTGTTGGGGTATTCATACAATAAATTTGGCAACCTTTTCTCCTGTTGATCTGCCTGGTTTATTTCATTGACTGGGTTACTGAAGCCTCAGAGTTTAAAGGGAAAGCCTTCCCTCCTACATCATATATAACCATAATATGGAATTATTTTAAGAGAAATATGAAGTTGGTAAGGAACTGTGGTTAAAATAAAGTCAGCGACTCATGACTACATGTCTAATTTAAAGTTATTGAGTGATTACTCATAGAGATAAGACAATTATATTATGTTTATTATGATAATTTAATTTGCTCTTTGATGATTTATTAAGTGTAAATTAGTAGAAATTAACTCTGGTAACCTCATTCTTCCCCACTACTTTATTTGGAATATCAGTTATAACTAATCTATATTGTAATTTCCCTACCTTCAAAATAGCCTCCACAGTTACAAGTAGCTGAATCAATGCTAATTAGGAAAAAAAAATACAGCTACTGATTATTTCAAATAGTTCATTATTCAGATAAAATGGGCTCCGGGTGATATAAGTAAGGAGATTTTCATAAACATTAAAACTGAGAAAGGTAACTGAATGCCATTCTTCAGACAATTAGAGTGTTAACTACAAAAATTATTAGTGATGAAATAACATGGTTTTTGTCAAGTGTACAAAACTTTTTTGGGCTATGATAGTCTTATAATTTTAGAACTGGGTCCAACACTCGCATTACCTACTAGTGGTTTGCAGCCTAAGGGGAGTTTCCTTCAAAAGAGTGTTTGAAAAATAGAAAGAAGTTTTTGATTCTCACAATCACATATGGGTCCAGTTGGACTTGAGTGCTCAGGTGGCCATGTGTGCTAAGTGCCTGCAATATGCAGTAATGCACCTCACAACTAACAGTCATTGTGCTTCAAATGCCAACTGATAAATCACAAACTTAGAAACCAGGAAAAGAGTATTATAAATGCTACAGGCTCCATGTTTGTATTTCCTTCTAATGCTTATGTTGAAATCTAATCATCAGTGTGATGGTAGTGGAAAGTGGGACTTTAAGTTGTGAGAGGAGGAGAGCACTCATGAATGGTTCTAGCCCCCTTATAAAAGAAGCCCCAGATAGCTGCTGTTCCTTTTTTTGTCATGTGAAGACACAGCTAGAAGGCACTGTCTATGAATCAGAAAGAAGGTCCTCACCACGCATCATATATGTCAGCACTTTGATTTTGGACATAGCCTCCAGGACTGTGAAAAATAAAATTTTGTTGTTCATATGTTGCTCAATTCATGGAATTTTGTTAATACAGCACAAATGAACTAGGACAAGAAGAACAGTGGGAGAAACAGGATTGGAACTGTGTTCTGTCGCAGTGGAAAAAAAAATTCAGTATTTTTTTTCTTATGAATAATATGAATATAGTAAGATCTAAATAAGGATATTGTTACCTTCAGAGGGAAATTTTATATTCCCACTCCATTCTTCAGCTACACATGAAAAATTTAAATAGCTATAGGTACCAAAAGTTTCAAATTCCTCTAATCTGGCTTTTGTCTCCTGACTTTGGCCTTCACTAGATACTCTGCCTTCAAGGGACCCTTTGACCTGCAGCCCTTTCTGCTATAACTGTTGTTTTGTGCTGGAGCCCTGCCAGGGTGATGGTAAAATATGGGGGTTGTGGCTTGGAGCTGTGACATTCACAAGTGTTTCTCCAGTGCTATTGTTTGTTTGTTTGTTTTTCCTCATCCCCACCCTCACTCCCTTCCCTGGCTACGAGACTTCCAATCTATTTTTGAAGCCTTGATACCTGTTGAAAATGATTTTTTCCTCTTTAGGTAAAACAGCAAGACTGAAAGCAGCTGGAGGCAGAGAAATTTCCTTTCCCAGAAGGATAAACACTATCCGTGACTTAGCCCTAGAAAGCAGTCCATTTACATAGTGAAGACTCTGGATCTATCTAAAGGATGACTCTTCTCCTCCTCCTTGTCAGATCCGGGAAAGGATCTTTTTCAGATTCTTACTGGTATGGCTCCTGCAGGTAAAGCCCACAAAAGTGTAGGGGCTGCAATAAGACTGCATCACCAAGAAACTTTTTTATTCTTATGGTTGTCTGTATTCAACATTTTAACAACATTATCATTTATATGGTCCTATTAGTTTATGGCTCCAGTGACTTCTCCTCTGGATAATAGATCTCAGTTTCTGTGTATCTTTTGATGTGCCTGTCTCTCCTGATTTTAGAGTAGTTGAACGTCCTATAACATCTGTTTTCTCAACAGATGCAAGAAAAGTTATTTTAAGTTTTATTCTTGAATGACCAAGAGTGACAACTTCTAAGCTCTTTGCTTGTTGGATTTTGTCAAAGCTAGAAAGAAAAATCTGTTTGTTTTCTGACTGCTTATAATTTTTTTCCTCTTGCCAGAGAGAATTAACAAGTACAATTCTGACATTCCTCAGTTGCTTAGGAAAAATGTGTCACATTTTAAAAAGAAGTACAGTAGGCCAGGTGTGGTGATGCATGCCTGTAATCCCAGCACTTTGGGAGGCTGAGGCGGGTGGATTACCTGAGATCAGGAGTTCAAGGGCAGCCTGGCCAACATGGTGAAATCCCGTCTCTACTACAAATGCAAAAACTAGCCAGGCATGGTGACGCACGCCTGTAATCCCAGCTACTTGGGAGGCTGAGGCAGGAGATCACTTGAACCCAGGATGCCAGAAGGCGGAGGTTGCAGTGAGCTGAGATCTTGTCACTGCACTCCAGTCTGGGCGATAAAGCAAGGCCCTATCTCAAAAAAAAAAAAAAAAAAAAGAAGAAGAAGCAGCACAGTGTGGGCATATGAAATGTAAGCTAGCTAGCTCAACAGCTTGGGAAAATCATCATAAAAGAACTGGCAAGCAAGGAATTGGTAACAACATAATATTAAAAATATAATGCAAAACACAATCCAAAATGGGCATATGGAACAGGCAAAATATCAACTTATGTGGGAAAAGATAAACCTCAGATGTCACTACAGCTATGAGACTGAGGGTGGAATTCAATAACAACAATTTTCAAGCATCCATTATAAAAGTGTTCCAACAAATTGCATAAATACTCTTGAAATAAATTGAAAGGTTGAAGTCTAGTAAGTAAATACACACTGCAACAAACAAAATGGAAATTTAATACTTTTAAAATATAATAACTTTTTAAAAAAAATAAAACCTTGAATATATCAACAGCAGCATAGCAATGATGGACAAAAGACTCACTAATCTTTTAGTGAGAAGACAGAGCAATAGAAAAAATTCAATTGAATAACAGATATAAAAAGGTAAAATAAAACAAATCTTGAAGACAGAGCAATAGAAAAAATTCTTGAAGACACAGCAATAGAAAAAATTCAATTGAATAACAGATATAAAAAGGTAAAATAAAACAAATAAATAGTCTCAGAGACCTGGAGGAAAACAACATAAGGCCTAATATCTGTGTTGTTGGCGGTCCAGAGACACAAGAAAAAGAATGTGGTATAGGAAAAAATATGTGAAAAAATAATGCCTGAAAACTTCTCAAATATGATAAAATATATAAACTTGCAGATTAATGAAGCTCAGAACGGCCCAAACAGAATAAAACCCCAAAAACACCTTCCTGAAATATCATAATTGTGATGGCTAATATTGAGTGTCAATTTGATTGGCTTGAAGGATGCAAAGTATTTTTCCTGGGTGTATCTGTGCCAAGGGGATTAACATTTGAGTCAGTGGACTGGGAGAGGCAGACCACCCTCAGTCTGGATAGGTACCATCTAACTAGCTGCTAGAACAACTAGAATAAACCAGGCAAGAGAAGATGGAATGACCGACTTACTGAGTCTTCTGGCCTTCATCTTTCTCCTGGGCTGAATGCTTCCTGAGCTGGAACAACAGACTGTAGCTTTTGGACTCTTGGACTTACACCAGTGGATTTCTAGAGGTTCATAGGCCTTTTCCACAGAGTGAAGGCTGCACTGTCAGCTTCCCTACCTTTTAGGTTTTGGGACTGAGACTAATGCACCACTGACTTCCTTGCTCCTCAACTTGCAGACGGCCAATCATCGGACTTTGCTTTGTGATCGTGTGAGTCATTTCTCCTTAATAAACTCCCTTTCATATATGCATATATCCTATTAGTTCTGTCCCTCTAGAGAACCCTAATAAAATAATTAAACTTTTAAAAACTAAAGATAAAGTAAAAAAACTAAAGCTAAAAAAGGGAAATAGAAAATTCTCAAAGCAAAGAAACATCACACATTATTTATAGGAGGACAATGGTTTGCATGAATATAAATTTCTCATCAAAAACTATGGAAGCCAAATGGAAGTGGGAATCATTTATAGAGTCGAAAAAAGGTAAACCCAGAATTCTAGATCCAATGAAAATATACTTTATGAAGGGAAGTTAAATATATTCTCAGATGAATGAAAACTAATAGAAGTTAATGTCAGTATAACTGCTCTATAAGAATTGAAAAAAAAAAGGTTTTCAGATGGAAGAAAATGATATGAAAAGGAAACTTGGAATACCAAGAATTAAGAACAACAACAGAAATATTAAGTGTCGAGTTAAAATTTTCAGTAGATAGATAAATATACATATCATGTATATATAGAATATAAAAATGTGTATGTATATATAGTGTATATATATAGTATATATATAGTGTATATATATAGTATATATATAGTGTATATGTATATATACATACACACATACACACATACACACACACACAAACAATATATAAATGAACTAAACACAAAGGAGGGAAAGTAATGGGACATTTTTAATTTCAAGGTTACTACATTCTGTTTGATGTAGTAAAATACAGATTGCACGCAAAATGTGAAGTATGTATAACAATTAGAGCAAACTCTAAAATGTCTGACTAAAATTTAGCCTGAAAAGGAAAAGCAGGAGAACCATATGTGTGTGTGTGTCTGTATAAATATATTTATATTTACAATATTATATTTAATTGGTGAGCTTAGGTCATTATATTTTAATAGACTTTGTTGTTTGATTTATCATTTTCTGGTTTTGTCCTCTTTTTATTAATTAATTAAATGTAATTAGTTATACTCACTATCAATAATTTAATTACTAATTAATAATTAATCAATAATTTATTTTTAATGTATAATTAAATTTTAATTATTATTTATTAAATTTTAACTATTTTAATTATTAATTTAATATTAATTATTAATAAACATGTAGGTAGCTAATAAGAGAGCTTCAAAATACAGGATGGAAAAACTCACAGAATTGAAAGGACGAATCTACTGATCTATAATTACAGATGTAGGCTACAACTTTTCTCAATAATATATAGAATAGTAAACAGAAAATCTGCAAAGTATAGAATAATTTAATGGCATCATCAGTCCAGAATTACAATTAACATGTGTTGAACACTTCACCAAATAAAAAAATGCACTTTCTCCATATTCTAAACTTAAACATTTGAAAGAATGAAAAAAAAAAAAAAAAAACCCCGAGATATTCTCTGACCGTAAAGGAATTAACAGAAAGGTAATACAAATATATGCAATCATTTTGAAATAAAACAACCTACTTCTAAATAATTCATAGGTCACTAAAATAATTAGAAAATACTTTGAACTGGCCAAAGATAGAACTATAACATATCAACATTTATGATTAATGTTTAAAGTAGAATTTGTATTATTAAATGCTTATATTAGAAAAGAAGAAAAGTCTGACATCAATAAGCTTCCACCTTACAAAACTAGTAAAGAAAAGCAAAATAAACCCAAGTTTGCAAAATGAAGAGAGTAATCAAAATGGAAGCAGAAATAAGATAAACTGAAAACAGAGAAACACTTTGAAAAAAAAAACAATAAAATAGATGACCCTCTGACAAATGAATAGAAGGAAAACGAGAGGCCGGACGCGGTAGCTCACTGCTGTAACCCCAGCACTTTGGGAGGCTGAAGCGAGCGAATCACGAGGTCAGGGGATGGAGACCATTCTGCCTAACATGGCGAAACCCCGTCTCTACTACAAAAATACACAAAATTATCAGGGTGTGGTGGCACACGCCTGTAGTCCCAGCTACTCCGGAGGCTGAGGCAGGAGAATTGCTTGAACCTGGGAGGCAGAGGTTGCAGTGAGCCAAGATCGTGCCACTGCACTCCAGCCTGGGTGACAGAGCAAGACTCCCTCTCAGAAAAAAGAAAATGAGAAGACACAAGTTAACAATATGAAGAATGAAGGATGTGATACTACTACAACCCTACAGACACTGAGTCTACAATTAATACAATTAATAACAGAAATTAATTAATTATTTTTAGAAATCTATAAATTACCACAAGTCACTCAAGATAACATGGATAACCAGAATTATCCTATATCTAGTAATGCAATTAAATTTGTAATTTTAAATCTTCTCAAGAAATCCTAGCCAACTATTTTCCAAAATGGCTATATTACTTAGTCTCAGTGCCTAGGGATTCAATGTATAATAATCTTCCTCCCCTAGTCTTTTTTAAAGTGTATTTGTTTGCATTTGTTTTTTGCTCTTTGTTGTTGTCTTTTTCATTCTTCCCTCCACCTTTCTGCAATGATTTCCCACCAGTCCCCTAGAGGTAGTAGTACTTGCCATTCTTTCCCCACACATCAAGGCTTTCATATTGTAGTAAAGGCAAGAAAGAAATGTTCTGAGAAACACTTTTTTGCCCCTTCCCAATAGCTGCTTTTTAATACTGTTCTGCTATCCCATATTCAGTCTTAATCAGTGTGTCATATTTTCTAACTCAACTCTTATTTGACCTCTCCATTTTTAAGCACCATCTCTCTGGACTTTGAGCCAGTTGGTTGCTCTGTAAACTCAGGTTTCTGAAGGGTTAAATAAATTGTGAATTTGAATGTTGTCCATTTTTTCCTTTCTGTCAACATGAGGATGACTCTGTCTCCAGTACTATTCTAGGGTAAAAGTCTGAGGCTGAAACTCTTTCTTTTACTAATATATTTTACAGATCTTTCTCTACTTATAAACATAAATCTTTCTTTCTGTAGTGTTTAATAATACAGATTTATACTATGTAATGTAACCATTTTGTGAGTGATGGACGGTAATTTTTCTCAATTTTTAAATCAAGTATTGCTTCTACAGATGTCTTCTGAAACATCTCTGCATAGTTAGCTCAATAGAATAAATACATAGCACTTAGGGTGTATCTTGTATCAACAGCCCAACTTATTGTCCCAAAATACAAGTCTAATAATGTATCTCCTTCAATACAGTCTTTCAATTATCTTCCTTAAAATTAAATTAAAATGCTTTTACTTATTTATATATCTATATCCAACCTAACTTTCTACATTATCTTCTACTTCATCTACAATATTATTCTATCAGTAATATGAAAACAACTCAATGGTTCTTTTTTAGAACAAGAAGTCTTCACACTTATGCTATAATATGATTTTAATCCCACAGAGATTTTCTCATAGAAAATTGATTCTGCATTTATGCTTATTGTTGTTATTGTGAATAGAAATAAGTAACAACTAGATGAAAATTTAATACAGTATGACACTGATATTGAAGGCATGTTCATTAGGCTGTTCAAATACATTTATGTAATGATTATCTGTTTACCGATAGAGTCAGGAAAAGTTTATTTTCTTTCTTTTTATGAATGTATTTACTTCTTTATTAGATGATGAGAGAACTTTAATCTCTTTTCCATTTCTGTCTTAGACAAATTTTGTGTTCCAAGTTACAATGCCAACTTAGATTCTGGTGGTGCCTCTCTATAAAATTATTGACCAACTACAATATTCAAGACACTATGTTAATTATAGCACATATAAGAGACAGTAGCTCAAATCTTTTGTTCTTGCAGTACTTATTTACAGCCACCTTGGGGAAAAATGACCCAAAAATCTGAAGCAGTGGAATACAATATAATGCATAAGAAGAGTTCAGGAAAATGAATTACTATGACCTGGAAGAGTTTTTAAAAATGTCAGCAGTTTTTATATTTCATAATACATAAATTAGGAAGAGAAGATGAGATTAGGAATAAGAAACAGAATATCAGCATCTCCAAGACATGTTTGAAGGACAGTGAGATGACTTTTTATTCTTATAAGTAAAAATTTTAAAAATAAAATTTAATTTGGCTTTGGTTATAATTAATAAAAATTGCTTGTTATAATAAGACTTCAAGGACCAGGATCTTATAAAACCAAATACTGTTAATTATCAAAGAACTAGGCTATAAAATATCAATAAGATAACATAGGGGAAGTTAGAGAACATACGCACTCTAGAGATTATGAAAGAACCAGGAAATAAGGGCTAATTATAAATAAGATACTTTAAATATATACTACTTTAATTCTTATTATCTTCAATAAGGCAAGGCAATAAGTATAGATTTTCTACTTCTCTCTTTTTTTTTTTTTTTTTTTTTTTCAGACAAAGTATCACTCTTGTCGTCCAGCCTGGAGAGTGCAATGGCATGATCTCAAGAGTCTCACTGCAACTTCCGCCTCCCGGGTTCAAGCAATTCTCCTGCCTCAGCCTCCCGAGTAGCTGGGATTATAGGCACATGCCACCACGCCCAGCTAATTTTGGTATTTTCAGTAGAGACGGGGCTTTGCCATGTTGGCCAGGCTGGTCTCGAACTCCTGACCTCAGGAGATCCGCCTGCCTCAGCCTCCCAAAGTGCTGGGATTATAGGAGTGAGCCACTGTGATCGGCTGAGATTTTCTGCTTCTTCAATGCAAGTTATTAAGTGGAATAAGTTTTCAAATATTAAACAAAAACACTTTTGCAATTTCAGAGGAAACTAAACTCATCTAGAAGCTTATCAAATATATTTTTCTTTTAATTTATAGAACACATATGATGCAGAAAAGGTAATTTGTGCATCAAAATGGTGAATGTGTTAAATCAAACTCTTGCATAATCAAGTATGTTGACTCTTACGTCAACATAAGAAAACTCAGATTCTTTAAGTCCCCTTGCAGACCACATTTTAAAGTGTGCTTTACTGATTAAAACACAAAGGCAACACAATACTTTGATGAATTGATTGCTTTCAAATATGAAGAATTAAGACAAAATGTATTAGCGTTAGTTAGATGACTAGTGGTAAACCTGGGAACCCCAGGATAAGATATTTTGGCATCCTCACATATGCAGAAATATTCATCAGAAGTATGCATTGAAAACTAAAGATATTCGTATCATTTGTACCTTTGCAGGAAAAGCTGAGAGGTTCATTCTTTTTAGATATGAGCTACCAATGGTCTCAATTCCATAAATAGCATAAGAAAAAATAAAGGAAAATTGCCATAAATATGTCGCAAGTGAGTACAAACTAGTTAATATAAGATTTCATTTCCCATGACAATTCAAGGTATCTAAAACTACACCCTTTCTGTGCAACAATTACCTGCACATGAGTAGTAGCTGCCTCCTTTATAATGGCAAAAATAAATGTTTAGCTATACTCCTCCCCACATTGTGTATTGCGCACCAGCCTTGTTTCATTCAGTTATTTTATTTTATTTCAATTATACTACTTTCTAGTCCATTTTGGTATGTGTCTTTGTTGCCCTTGGTTTAAATCATCCTTGTGAGTGTTTTAAAATATCACCTTGGTGTCAGTCAGAGTGACATGATCTATAGCATATATCAAAATGAGACTTGCATAATAAAATACTCTAAAGAAAATGGTCTGTGGGACACAAATGTAGATTTTCTTGAATATAAATGTATAAACTGTTTTCTAACCTGGATTTTACACGATAGGTTTAAATGCCTGACATTTCTGAAGAGGCTCCTTTGGAATAGGTGCTAGGTTAGATGCAGATACACAGATATAAAACAGACTTCCCAGTGCTGATAGTATGTGGGGCTATAGAAGAAAAGACCTCATGCAAATGCAATAGAAGGGTGCAATAGCACTGTGTTATTGGTACTCGGGGGAAAGCAGCTTATTATGCTTAAGTGACTGTGTGGTTTGGGGCAGGGTTCAGGTGAGAATGTTCAGAAAGGTATCTCAGAAAGAGTAACACAGGGACTATCTGGAAGAACTATAATTTTAAAAAGACAAGAAAGCAAAGGGCAATTTGGACAGAAAGAACACTAGTGTCCCCTGATACACTGGTGATAAACACTCAACAAAAAAAGGTGATGTTGGTATTTGCACATGACACAAATGAAGATTGTTGAAAAATAAAATAACCAATTTACAAACTATTCTATTTGCTAAATAACAGCAGCAGTTCTCATAATAATGGTTCTTTTCTCTGAACATCATGATTCTTATTGGTTTCTTGATTATTTTTAAAATTCTCCAAATGCACTTAAATAGTCATTAAAAAAGAATCATTAGTAAACTATCACTAAATGTAAACCAAATGTCTTATTGTACTATTTTCTAAACTTCATCAGAACAATATTTTTCTGCCTCTCTTCAGAAATTGTACACCTTTAACATTGTTGCATATACAGCATTTACAATTTTTAATAAGATTATTGTTTAAAATAAAAGACATGGTAAGGGAGAAAATGACATTTACAACTTATTTCAAAATCTATTTTACCTTCATCTCTTACTTGTATTTTATTATTAATATGTTTGTTTGCAAAGCAATACATTTTAAAACATCCCTCCTTTACACTTCTTTCTTTATTAAACTAAGTAACATAGAGGAAAAAAAATCAAACTGAAAGCCTCAGTTTTTTTTTCTTTTTTCTTTTTTTTGAATTGCAATGTCTTTCTTTTAATTATGTTGAAATTCATTAAAGCGATTGTACTAGAGGATTTGGCAGAGTTAATGTCAGGCTTTAATTTATCAGGGTAAATTTTGTAAAAATCTATTGCTGTGCTTTGTCTAAGAACTGACATTTTATGTATGATTAAAAGCTAACGTGATTTAGTTTGGAAAGAGAATTATGGAACATATTGTGTGAAAACAGATTCATGCCATAAAATGTTTTAAATAAAAAAAAAAGTTGGTGTCATGCTTCTTTCTCTTAATGTGTTGATTTCTAATTCCCTCTCTCTACCCCTCCCGTCCTCTCTTAAGATGTGAATGCTTAAATTAGATAAATTCAATTATGCCTCAATTTGTCTTTTGCCTTCGAAAAACTAATTAGAAGTTATTGAGTTAAAAACCATTAGTGGTTTCAAAATATATTAGAACTGTGGACTTTAAGACACTGCTGGATACATAAACTTTCTGACTTCTAATCTGCCCATGCACATGTTGTTCATATTATAAGAATGGCATATACATATCTAAATATTTTAATGATTAGCTGAGGTGAGTCTAGGAATGGAAGTGGAATGAAAAGTTTAGGCAGAGGCAGCATTGGGTACATAAACTTTCTGACTTCTGATCTTCCCATGCATATGTTATTCACTGAAGCAAATATATCCATTATAAGAATGACAAATACATACCTAATACATTAAGGATTAGCTGAGGTGAGTCTAGGAATGGAAATAGTATCAAAAGTTTAGACAGAGGCAACATTGGAATAGTGAATTCTATTTATTTATTTATGCCATTTGTTGAGTTCTTAGTATGTGTGAAGCACAGTTGCAGATTCTAGGAACAGAATAACAGGCATAATTTTTGACCTCACAGAGCATATGATCCAATGGAAGAGACTTAATAAAAATTATATTTTAGGCTGCTGGCCACTCCTCATTTTTATGATGGAAGTATGGAAGCTTTGTTTTCTTCCCCAGTGGGTAGGTTCATTGAAATTTCTACGGCAGGAACAGACCTGAAAACATTAGGTAAGCATGGAGGTGTTCTAAATGTCAGGCATGCGTGACACACATTAAAATGATACTAAATCTCTCCTAGTCCAAGGGAGCCCAGACCCCCAAAACACTAAAGTCTTGCTCTGGTGTTTTGTTTGCTATAGTTTAAAAAAATTGTCTTCTCATACATTTATTAAAATATCATACTGATCAATTTTGATAAACTATAAAGTAAATGTGTCATGAACAATTATACTATATAATGAGTGGGAATTCTGAGTTTTGGGCAATAGAGAAGGTTATTGAGGAAATCATATTTAAAACTTGCAGGAAGAGGAGGCGTCGTTTAGTAATAAATGGGCAGGAAGGCATGCTAGGAAGAAGTTAGCCTTTGAGAAAATCCAGAGTAAAATGGAGAACTGTGCTTTGGAGGAACTGATAGAAGACCATACTGATGGAAGGAGAAAGATAGGCAGGAGATAGATAACAGGCCAGGTAGTATGTGTGTGTATGTATATACACTGATATGGGTTGGTTCTCTGTCCCCATCCAAATCTCTGTTGAATTGTAATCTCCTGTGCTGGGGGAGGGACTTGGTGAGAGATGACTGAATCATGGGTGTGGTTTCCCTTTTCCTGCTCTTGCGCTAGTGATTGAGTTCTCATAAGATCTCATGGTTTAAAAGTGTGGCACTTCCCTCTTCGCTTGCTCTCTCTCCTGCTCATGATGATAAGACATACTTGCTTCTCTTTTGCCTTCCATCATGATTGTAAGTTTCCTGAGGCCCTTGCAGCCACGTGAAACTGTGAGTCAATTAAATCTGTTTTCATCATAAAATGCCCGGTCTCGAGTAGTTTTTTGTAGCAGTATGAAAACAGGCTACTACATACACATATATGCACAAACGTGAACATGTGTATGCATGTATATTTAAAAATAGCAAAAGGAAGCAGCAGCTCAAAGATTTTAAATAGTGTCATGAGATGATCTCACTGGCATTGTGAGGAGATCTCCTGCTGGCTGTGTGAGAAATGGATTAGGAGGGCTTAGAGTAGACGTGAGGAAAAAGGGAAAGGATGCCATTGCCGTAGATGCTAGTCCCTTAGCCTGAGGAGAGTTAGATGGATGTGAAATACATTTAGAAAGTAAAAATGAAAAATTTTGATGATGATCGCATATAAGAGAGAGAGGCCATAAAGATTTTGTTTATAAATCTAACAAAGAAAAAACATCTGTAATATGTCTAGGTCAAACAAAGTATGTTTTGCTTATCATAAGGCATATTATCACTTTGAAAAAAATGTTAAATCAAAGAAAACTCAAAATCAAAATTAGGATATGGTTCTCTGTCTGGTTAATGTACCATATTAGGAAATGGCCTGATGACCTGGGTGTATTGGCTAGTTGTGAAGTTGAATACATTAATTAAAAAACCTGCACAAAAATTCCAATGGACACACAAGTATGGATATGCTTTTTTTTTAGATTCTCTATGAGCAATTTTAAAAATTCCCTATTTACTGAGGTGGCTTTTCAACACAAACAACACAAACCAACAATATAGAAAGCAGTAACAATTTTTTATTGTATCTCTAACAAAGTTAGCATAATAGAATTTCACAGTATCTTGTGGTCTAGTCAGCTTCCTTTAAGCATGTGCCGTGTAATTATACCTATGCCTTATTCATTTTTGTATCCCCAGTGCCCAACAGCCTCCTGGACACATCAGTATGAAATGTTAACTAGCATACAAGTGGGGAATATCAAGTAGCTTAATCAAGGTCATAGGGCTAATTAGAAAGATTTTGTTTTAAAAAAGAAAAATAGATGTTTTGCCTCCTTTGTCTTAGTGTAATATTCTTTCTGATGGGCTTAACCCATGAATCAACGTGCTCTTCCCCTCCTCATTTAGCCGACATCTACTGCTATGGACAGATACCCGGGAACCTCTGGAATATTCAGACTTTTCTTGCAATGATAGCCTGACATTGGTTTGCCTTATTTTACACCAGTTCTTCATCTCCTCTGGTTTTCATCTTGCTTCATTAAACCTTTGCATTTATACTGCTGTGAATATGAAGATTAGTGTTTTATGGTTATCAGGCCTTGAAAATTTCAGATTTACCTACAGCCTCTTTCAGTAGCTGTTAGCCTTCTGTTGTTCAGATGTCTCTGCAGTCTGATTTAGCCCAGTCTTGGGCCTATCCAGGTTACTAGCCAATATGTTCAATGCGTTCTCTAGCACACTTTGACCTGCCTCAAAAATGGAAAATCTGTGATGGTCTATAATACTTTAAGGTAGAACTGTATACTAATGGTGACAGTTAGATTAAGAATCGCCTGAATAAATGAATGAAGAAGAAAAAACTCTTACAAAGTCTTCAAGAACAACGGATTAAGGCTGGAATAAATAGTGCGCCTCACCAAATTTATCAAATGTGCAATATATGCTACTTTTTCAATAAATCACAGTTTTCCTTTTTGTAGAATATTATCCCCTTCTCTAAGATTCTTTTCACAAATTTAGTGCTTATATTACATTCTGTTATTGGCTTGGTGGCTAATACCTGCTGCGATCTTAACTGGTAATTCAGATAGAAATGAATGATGTCTAGGAGTGTTACTAATCAAAAAATATTTTTATTTTAAGAGAACATATTAAATTTTAATGAGCAAAGTCAAGGAACAGGATTTCTGGCCGCATAGGCTGTGATTTTTAGGCAGAGAGAAATTTTCTCACTTATCCTTAGATTCCTGTATGCATTTTAGGCTTAAACTAGAAGGCTAAATTTTGTGGCTATTTGAGATGGATTAGGATAATATCAGACTTCCTTAAGGATATACCTACAAGTGGCATAGAAAAATTTTTAGAAAGAGACTGAAGTGGGTATCTAGAAAGAGACGACAATCTCTGAAACGTCAATACCTTCTGTATGATAATGTTTCATTTAGGAATATTTCCTGTCAGGGGAAAAATAAATCCATAAAAAAGAATTTGAAGTATGGCAGTACTTGGTAAAACTGGTTAATAAATATAGTTAGTTGATGAAAAACAGAAATTGACTCATTTTAAACTGTTGCCTTATATATACTGAATCATTCCAGGTGATTATAAAATGTTGTGCCACATCTTTCACATTTCTTAAAAAAAAAAGGTGAACTATTTTAAACCAATGCTGTTAATATACCACAGATTAAAATAAAATTCTGATCACTGTGAACAGCATTTCAAGAATATAAATGTTAGATTCATTCATTATGTCTCATAACTTAATAATAATTGATCCAATATAATTTTTCTTTGTCTAAGGTAACATTTCCTATTCCATTCCCTACTGCATTGTAATATGGCGCCATGGTGTTCGACCATATTTCCTGTTTACCTCCAGCAGTTACCAGGACATCCTGATAGTAAACCATGATAATGTACACTCTATGCCTTTACATTTTTTCATTCTCTCTGCAATATCATCACTTCCCCAACTTCACCTTCTTTGCAGAGGCCAGGGTTCTATGTCTGTATCTCCCATCCCAGAAGAAAGCGAAACAGGCAAAACCTAAGTCTTATTTTATGAATACATAAAAGAAGACTTTCACAGCTACTTAGCTGCTGATAATCTTTTCATCCTTGAAGTCCTAATACATAATTGTGTATCTAATAGCATAAACCCTTATGAAAAGTCATCATGTCAATAATTATATCCTGTAAATTTTTATCTGTTTTTTAATAGTTGATTATTTTATATTCTTGTTCTATACCTAACATCACCTAGAATAATGATTGAATGTTTTTTGATAAATTACTCTTTATCATCTGGAGCACACATGGCTTTACTACATGCAATTCAGTATAATTATTCTCTCTGTACCTAGCTGTATGCTAAACTCTGAGATAAATTAAGAGACATAAAATATGCTCCCTTTGCTTATGGAAAACAAGTTATATTTTGAAAGAATATTACATAGTAGAGAAATAGTTAATAACAATATATTCTATTCTTGAAAAATCCTGGAGACAGTAGATGTAAACTGTTCTCACCACAAAATAACTATTATAACTATCTGATAACTATGTGAGGAAATGCATATGTTAGTTAGATTTAGTCATTCCATAACAGATATATACTTCAAAACTTCATGTTGTATATGATAAATACATATAATTTTATCTGTCAGATTTTTAAATTAAAACGTAAAAAGAACAGAAAAGAAAAATTCCAAAAAGAAAAAATACAGATATTATGAAGTTAACATTTTATTTCTTTAGTATTTTTAATTTACTTAGAAAGTATTCTCAAAAATATTATTGAATTTAATTAATAAAAATATTCTAACATAAAAAAAGTGTGTTTTACAAATTGACATTGAATTTTTTTAAATTAAGCAACTTTATTAATTGTACAAAGGAGTTCTAGTTTAAAGGAAGTTTTCTTTTTTCTGTGATAGAAAAATTATAATTTTAGAAGGATTAATTTGTATTAGACTTTTGTTTTAAGATATAAATAATCTAAGAATGTACATAAGTATTCATTCATTTTCCAGGATTCAAATTCTGTAATCCCCATGATAACTTGCTTGAGTAACTAAATACCATCATGGTTAAACAAAATTTTTCTTTCATGTATATAATTAGCACTATAGCACCAACTTATGCTGATTTTACCTTTATCCTGACCGTCATAATTTTAGAAAATATGGTCAACATGACTCTTATAATCAAGTGTAGTACACTTGAAAACAGGTATCAATTATCCCCTTAACCTTCTATTTTGTAATCTAAATATATATCATGATCACTGGACATTTTTGCATAGGACCATTTCTTCTTATCTTTTTAATTATCTTGGTAATTTTTTTACACATTTTGAAGTGCAGGAAACATTACTGAGATAAATTCAAAGTACATTACAGGCCAGGCACGGTGGTTTACCCCTGTAATCCCAGCATTTTGGGAGGCTGAGGTGGGCAGATCACCTGAGGTCAGGAGTTTGAGACCAGCATGGCCGACATGGTGAAACCCCATCTCTACAAAAATAGAAAAATTAGCCAGGCATGATGTTGGGTGCCTGTAATCTCAGCTAATGGGGAAGCTGAGGCAGGAGAATCGCTTGAACCCGAGAGGTAGAGGTTGCAGTGAGCCAAGATCGCACCATTACACTCCAGCCTAGGAAATAGAACAAGACTCCATTTCAAAAAAAAAAAAAATTCCAAACAAAACTTACTTGGATTTTTCAATGTATTACAATACTTTTTAAAAGAAAACTTTATATTACATTTTTAATAGAGTACACATTTTATTAAAATGTTTAGAAACAAACAAAAACTCTATCAATACCCACCCAGTGGCTACTAAGCTGAAGACACTAGCCTGTGGGTCTTGAGGGTGCTCTTAAAATTTAGATGCACTCTTACTTGGAAAGTATTTGTATTTTAGTTCTGGTGACATAGCATAAAGAAGCAAAAAGGTAAATTGAAATATAACAATAACATAAAAACATAAAAAAGAATGAAGGTAGGAAGGGAGAAAAGAAGGGAAAGAAGTCAAGAAGGCAGTAAAGATTTTTTTGCCAAATCAGCGACCGTGGCAGAGCAGTTAAACAGTTCAGAGTTGAGAGCTCCCAGGAAAGGAGAGTACTAAAAGTTTCTTTTATTGTTTTTATTTGTTATTTTTTCAATTCCCATGTTGTTCTGATTACTCAAGACCTAGTTGTTCAGTGAAGAATGTCTTCACTAATCTCTCTCCGAATTCATTATAGTGTCACCTTCCTTCCACTCTTCACTATATGCCACCAACATTTTCTCCTCTAGAAAAGCCAAACTCATCCTTGCCTCAACTGTTCGTGTGGTCACCTTTACTGAAACACATCTGACCTAGATCCTCACATAGTTGAATTCTCTTGCCATTCTTTTTTCTGCTTAGCTTCCATCTCTTCAAAATCCGTTCTTTTCCCACTTTATCTAATTTTGTCAGCCTCATTATTACCACTGTTATTCTTTTCTTATATTTAATGAACAAAAAGAAAGCTGGAGAAGCATTCAAAAAATTATCTTTAAATAAACTAAAATGGGCATATAGCAAAATTTACCTATTTTTTGTCTTTTGGTGTATAGTCTATGAATTTTAATAAATGTATGGATTTGTATACCCGTACGTAAAATAAGATGTGAAACTATTCAAAAATCCACAAAAGTTCCTCGTAGTTTTTATTCCTTTGCAGTCACACACTCCATCCATCCCAAAGCTCAGGCATTCCCTGTGTATTCATCATCACTATCATTCTCTATCAGAATTTCAATTCAATGGAATCAAATAGTATGTAACATATTGAGACTGTTTTCTTTGCTCAGCATAGTCTTTTTGAGATTTATATAAATTCTTATTTGTATCCATAGGGCATTCCATTTGATTCATGAATAGTATTCCATTGCATGTATGTACAACTGTATGCATATGATTTACTTGTTTCAGTACATTCATGATGTCCAATTTTTGTAATAATGAATAAAACCACTATACACATTTATGTGCAGGTGTTTGAATAGAAATAAGTTTTCATTTTCTCCAGAGTACGACTGAAATTTACATAGCTGTGTCATAGAGTAACTTCATATTTCAATTTGTAATAAATTACCAAAGAGTATTTCAGAGTAGCTCTATCATTTTACATTCTCACCAATACAGTAATGCATGAGACTTCCAATTGCTCTGTATTCTCACCAATATTTGGTACTGTCTCTCTATATTTTTTTAAACTTCAGCTATTCCAGAATGTGACTACTGGTATCTCATTGTGGTTGTAATTTGCATTTCCCTTAACTCAGAGGATGTGGAGCATCTATTACATGCTCATTTACTATCTTTACATCATATTTGGTACAGTATCTTTTCAAGTCTTTGTATATATTTTTAATTGAGTTGCTTCTTATTTTCTGAGATTATTCCTTACATATTCTGGAAAAGTCTTTGTTACATATGTGATTTGAAAAGATTTTCTCCAAGTATATAGCTTGTATTTCACTCTCTTTAAAGTTATTCTCTTTTATAATATTCTGATCTTATTTTTCACAATACTTGACATTCTCCGAACTCATCTTATTGCATTCTATACTTTCCAAACTGTATAAGCTTTATGTTTGCAGATAACTTCTTTATTCCTACAGTGATGAAATACTGTTGGCATTATTAGCACATAATTATTAATAAATACATAAAAATGAATTTAGGAATACACCCTCGACTGCTGCAATAAATTACCGCATACTTGGTAGTGTAAAAATAACACACACTTATTCTCTTACAGTTCTTGAGGTCAAAAATCTAAAATGGATTTTACTGGGTCAAAATCTAGGCTTTGGCAGAGCTGTACTCTCTTTGGAGGTTCTTGAAGGAAATCACTATCAGTTTCCTTGCATTTTCTGGAGGATGTCCTCATTTTTGGTTCATGACCCCTCACCACATTGCCTTTTGCCCCTTGCTTCCATTATTACATTCTTCTTATACTGTAGTCAAATCTCCCTCTACCCTCCTCTGAAAAGGATACTAAGATTACATTCAGAGCCAACCCAGACAATCCAAGTTAATCTATCCATACACCTATCCCAAAGTTTATAATTTAGTCATATCTGCGAAGTCCCTTTTTCCATACAAGGTAACATTTGCAGCTTCCACAGATTACAACTGGGTATCTTTAAGGTCCATCCATAAGCCTATTACATATCCCAAACTATGGTGATCCTTCCCTTACCTAAATTGCATGTGATTATACATTTTAATAATTTATGATCTAGTTATTATATGTCTTAATAATTTTTTTCTCTCTAGTGAGATTGTCTCTTAGAAACCAAGTTTGCACCTGCTACATTACCAACATTCAACAAAGTAATTTTTTTAGACCAGACAATGGATTAACAATCTGAAAATCAAGCACCTGAATCCTTAGTAAAGCCAGCATTTATCTAGGACTGCAAATCTTCCTAGGCTCCAAACTTATGAGTTGGGATTAATTTTTACAATAAATTTGCTTTCATTGTTTGCTTTCCTCACCTAGAGACTTCTCTCCTTCGTTCTATTTTTCGTCTTTATCTCTATCCCCTTCTTCTTCCTCTTTTTCTCTCCAAGATATGAGCTCTATATTACACAAATTCTAGTTACTACAGTATATTTTTATTCATTAGATTTGATGTATAATTGATGCTATCATTCCTTTGACCCACCTTCCACAAAAACAGTTTCATAAGAATGAACATCTTTTATTTTTTCTGAATAATATGGTATTTCAATTTTATCAGATATCTGTCTCTATATAATAAATATGAGTAAAACAAAAAATGCTTGGTCTATAATTTTCATCATTCTAACTATATTTTCAGATGTCACAGAAGGTATATTTCAAGAGTATTAGCTTACATAATTATTATGTAACCTATTCTCTGTCAGCTTCTAAACTTTCTTAGTATAGGTGTTAGATGTGTTGTTGAAAAATAATATGATATAACAGTAAAAATGACCTTTCATGCAGCTCTAATGTAGCCAGGAATTCATATTATCTATTTCAATACAAATGAATCAATTTTCACCTTTGTGTCAGTGAGTATGCTTGCATAAAGAAATAAAATAGAGGTATGTTTAAAACATAATTATAGTTTTATATATTTAAGAAAATAGTTACTTTCAAAATAATTTTAAAATATTATCACTATTGACCTTTGTTATTCTCAATCTCAGATGAGAGAATTTTGTATTTTTCTAACAAAAATTTACTTTCTACTGTTTGTGTATCTTTGAGTGAACCAAAAGTTCAGAACATTGAATTTCAAGAAGTCTCTGAGAATATTTCCATCCCATATAGGGCTATAACCCCAGGAATATATTTTTCTTTATTAAATGAAAATTTAAAAGGAAAAAAAGTCAAGTAAACAAGATTTTAGGAATGAATGAATAATCAAATAAAATATATTCATAGTTAATTCTTTTTCTCAATCTGTCATCATGGTACTTAAAAGATGCATTGTCTGAAGCAATATTAAATCACTTGGCCATATAATCTAAAATATACAAATGTGAAATGTCATATTCTTTTTTCTTCAACAAACAGGAATCCATGATTACATTTTTAACTCACACTGACAAATTCACATAGTTGAAAGCATTATTTGAATAATTTCTTCCCAGGTGTTATATGAAGTTTGAGAATTTGTCCCATTGAAGATGAATAGAACTGACTTCTTGAGTAACGAATATAACAATCTCAGCAGATGGAACAGCAAATAAAATTTGACTTTCTTTAAAAATTGCTTTATACATGATATCTGACCATTTTTATTCTTCTTTTTAACATCTGGAGTTTAAAAATGGATGTAGCTACTTATTTTGGAACCCCATGAATACAGCTGATAATTCTTAAAATGCCAGGGAAAATTACAAGTATGTTAAGGTAGTTCCTTAAGAGGAAAAGAATAATCCATAATTAATTTCAATTAGAAAACCAATGTTTGAGTTTTTATGGAGTGTATAAACAAAGACGAAGTAGACAATCTTATTTTATATTTAAATTAATTTAGGTATCTCATATACTTTTTTTGGAAATATATACTCTCATTACTGATGGATATTAATATTCACAGGGTAGTCGTACCAGAATGTGTATTTTTACTTCCAGTCAAAATCAATAGAAGACTTACGAATTCATTAAATGTAGGACGTGCATCCAAGTGTTAAAAAGACAGATAGTTGGGTTACCATCATAACAGTTTAATAGGGACTATAGGCTCTGGGGGCCTGGAACTGTGTCTTATCAATTGTGCATCTCCAATACCCCTTACAGCAAAGAAAGAAGTGTAGAAAGAGAGAAATAAGACCTATTGGGAGATTGGGGCTCAGGTGCAGGAATCAGTCATAAGGGAGAAATACAGTAGGCAAACATGAGATTCCATTTCTGAGAGGAAGACACAGGAACCCAGGAATTTGGTTAAGGTTTTCTGAAAAATTGGTTATGATAGTCAGGATAGAACTTGTACCAAGAGTATGTTGCAGTCCTAAAGTTACATCACTTCCAGTGACTCAAACCCAAATCAATCACTCAGTTCAGGAATGAGACTTAGTCTACAACTTGTATTGACTTCAATGGGTAAGTGAATTTGCCATCAGGAAAAGTTAAAAGCAAATAAATAAATAACCATGGTGTGTTAGATTAAAAAAAGAAACACACTTTGGAGTCCAATCATGTTTGTGTCAGAGCACACAAAGGAAAGATCACCCTTGAGAAAGTTATTTATATTCTCTCTGAATCTCAGCTTCTTCTTTTATAGAAATTGAGTTAAGAAAAGATGTGGGTCAGAACTCCTTCAGGACAAATAGCTCTATTCAATATAGCTTAAAGAATAATAATAAAATGATGACGGGAGGTGGGAGTGAGACAAATAATCTGTTAAGCCACTTGTAGAAGAGAAAGATGTGCAATCCTCTGTGAAAAGAAAATGAAAAACCTAATATGATCAATTGAATTTTTTTTATTTTCTCTCCAAAGTAAACAATGAAATTTTAGAAATACACTTAGAATTTAGACTTGTCAGTACAAAAGCAGCCGAGAAAAACAAGCCCACCGAACTGTAAAATGTTCTCTTATTTTTTCTCCCTTTTCATTAACAATTTAAATGATTAGCTATATGATATGACATGGAATTGACAATGATTTCTGAAAATAAATATTTCAGAATTCAAAGCATAACCAAAGAACAGAACATATCCAACAGAAATTTATATATATTGTACTTTTCTACAGAGCAAAATACTATATAAATCTTCCTTTTGCTATTGCAAGGTACAATAAAATGCAAATGAAAATTGCTTTCACACAAGGTAAAATAAAGGAAGCTTGCAGGAGTGATAAGTGATTTTTGCAGTTGCTTTTGAGGGTTTTGTGTGTGTGTGTTTTGGGGGGGTTCTATTTCAAGATAATGTAAGAAATAAGGTACTTCACTGCTTTTTCAGGAAAATTTCCCACAGTACATTTTTTAAGAAATAATAATTTCTTATCAGTAATGAAAAGTTCTATGGTTAAACTTCATGTTGTGCTATAGAATATTCAGTGTCACATCACAAGACTCTATCAATCATCTTTTCATTTCTACTCTGCCAAAATACATGCATAGAAGTGTTTTGGGGTGTGTGCATGTGTGTATGTGAAGAGAGAGAGAGAGAAAGAGAGAGAAAGGAAGGTAGGAAGAGAAAAAGAAAAGCAAAAGACAAGAAGCAAGCATGGAGGGAAGGAGCGAAAAAGAAACATAATTATAAAGAAACAAAGAAATCAATTAAGATTTAAGAGACGTGATATTGGGCCTGGCTGGCTCACACCTATAATCCCAGAACTTTGGGAGGCCGAGCTGGCGGATTACTTGAGCTCAGGAGTTCCAGAACAGCCTTGGCAACATGGTGAAATCCCATCTCTACTAAAAATACAAAAATTAGCCGGGCGTGGTGCTGCACGTCTGTAATCCCAGCTGCTTAAGAGACTGAGGCAGGAGAATCGCTTGAACCCAGTAGGAAGCAATTGCAGTGAGTCAAGATTATGCCACTGCACTTCAGTTTGGGTGACAGTGAGGCTCTGTCTCAAAAGAAAACAAAAAGAAAATAAAGAAACAGATAGTGGAAACAAATGAAATACTTTTGTTTTTAAAAATGATTTGATTAAAATTATGTGACTGAAATTGTGAAAATAAAATTGCCTCTGAAATATAAATCTTTAGTGATTATTTTATTAAAGTAATATGTTTCACAGACATAGGATACTTCTTTATGAATACATTATTTTCAAATTAGGCTACATTGTGAAATGAATAATTTAACTTCTGAGAAGAAAACAAAATGTTAGAAAATGTGAAACCTTTGCAAAGTGAGAGACCTTGAATTGAAGATCATACTATCAGATAAATGTCTTTTATTTTTCAGTAAAACACTCATGGAAACACAAAAGAAAAAAATCTAATTTTGTAGTATAATACAATTTTGACTGCTTGAATGTTGCCTAACATATTTTTATACATGTAATCAGTCTTTTGAGTACCATTAATTATAGCGATAGGACAATACTTCGGGAGAAAAAGAGAAAAAGAAAACTACCTAGGTTTCAGCATACAACTCGAATTTGTTTCACTTCTTAAGACTTACATAACTGGAAAAAAAGTTAGGAAGATATTTCATTCTTAGTTATTTTATTCTGGATCAATTTTAAATTCAAAGACGAAAGAACTATATATTCCAGAGAACTGAAGAGTTATCTTCTTTTGATATCTTTGTGGATCTCTTTTGTGTTTCATGTTCCTAAATATAATAAACAATTTTTAATGTCAACTTACTTTACTTTTCTGCTGCATTCATTGCATTCCTTAGTTTCTTGGCTCTTTAGATACCTACATACAACGTTAACCAGTCTATCTCCTTTTCTGCTCCTCCCTCAATTAACCTACTTTCAAAATACTTGGGACTGTATTATATGTCCCAGACCGTCTACTGACCTATTTCCACACTTTTACTCGAACTACATTATAAGCCAATTGCTCCTGCATTTGCCTGGTATCTATTGCAAAAACTGAAGAAACATTAACCACAAAACCCCCAAGCATTTATTTCTCCAACGAGTCTGCACGTAGCTGTAGTTCTACTCACAACAGTTTGATTTGCCTCCAATTTGTGTATTGCTCAGGCTTGCTCCAAGCTTCCTCATTCTCCTTGAACTGACAGTTACTCAATGTATTGTTCCCCGGTGCTAAATGGCAAAAAGAGCAAGGTAACAACATTGACTGAGAAAGTATCTGCATGTATTACCTTTCTTACTGTTCCACTGGCCACAGCAGGGCATATTGACCAAGTCTAAACTCATTTGGCTAGGAGTACTTAATTCACTTATTCTACCAGGTCATGTGGAAGAGGAGGGAAGTGAGGAACAATTCACAATAATCCAGTATACAATGCATCTATATCTATACCCACTTTACTAAAATTTAAACTCAAATATCTAACTATGCTATGTAACATGTAATAGGCATCTGAAATAAAGTGGCAAAAATCAAATTCTTGATTCCATCCCCACCCAGCTCTTGTTTTCTGCTAGTAAATTGCACCACATTAGGCCCAAAGGTTATCTACAGTTTTCTTTCCCTCAATTCTTGCAATCATTCCTGTCTGCTTTATCTCAAAAATATATTGGAAATATCTCTAAATCTCTTTATCTGTATTGCACCACTACAGTCCAAATCAACTTCATTTCTCTTCATGACTGTACCAATGTGTTTCTAAAATAATTTCCTAACATTCTTACTCTCTTAGGTATAAGCTGTTCTCTTTATAGCAGGCATATTGGATTTTTAAGGCATTTAATATCTAATCAACAATTAAATGTTTTGGCATTCCTAGAAGTAAAATAGTGTACTCATTGCTGGGAAGAGCAAAAAAAAATGTATTTTGTAAAATTTTACATTGTTAAATTTGTATATCTTGAACAGTAGTAATTTAAAGTTTTAAATACCAGAAGTATGAATAAAATAATCATGTTCCCTCATTAGAACAAATAAACACTGAAAACAACAATAGCAATAACAAAACATACAAATCAGAATTTGGGCTCGGAGTTGTGCTTTCGGTTTGCAAAACTGATATGTCAACAAACCAAAGATAATGTGGATTAAATAAGAAATCTAGAATGATCTATTGATGATTTTCCAAAAAAAGTTTTTTTCATCTAGTCATCTATTTAGCTCTAATGATGATCAACGTGCTTAGGAAATAATATCATAGAAGCAAGAAATAAAAAATAAAATTGGATGAGTCGGAGTAAAAACAAGTATCTGAAAATGATCTACTATAGGACCCAAAATAAAACAAAGAAACTCTATTATACTATAAATGATGTGCCTCTATTAGACTATAAGAATATGTGTCTTTTATGAAAGATAAGATATAAATAGTGAAGAGAGTGTGGTATGGAAATTTAGGATGAGCTATAAATGAAAATGATAGAGAAAGAAAGGTTGCAATAAGTAAAATGGAAGAAAAGAGCTAAAACCCACAAAGAGGTGGTGGTATTCATGTTAAGGAAAAGAAAATTGGTACAGATAAAGAAAACTTGTGATGTTTTCTCAAGATGCAGATAATTCAGAAAAAGTTACAATGATAAACATGATGAGTAACATGGCAAATCTAGACAACAAAAAATTGAGAAATTATACATGGAGAATAAGTGTACTGAATAAGATTTCAGTTCAAAAGAATAGAAGAAATATCAAAGATATAAATGAAGACTGATGCCAATTAAATGGCTCACTGCATGTCAAAAACACTTAATAAAGAGTCCTGTTGGCATCATTTTTGGAAACATATAGAAAAAAAATCTGAAAAGGACACACGAAAATATAGCAGGCTACATGGGGAAAAAGATTAGATTTTTGTCACAGTTCTCTGCTTCATTAACAAATTTAAGAATAAAATGTATATCAAAATGATTAAGTGTCTACTCTCAAGCCATATATACTGGATTCAAATCCTGACCTTGTTTATAAGGTATGATACTGAGCAAATCAAAGAATTTCTCAGTTCATCAGTTTCCTCATCTATAGAATGTGACTTTTGTCCTTTTGGTGATTAAATGAGTTGATGTATATAAAGTGCTTAGAAAATTCTTGACTCATAATTTCCTGGTACCAATTATTTCAGTTTTGAATTGAGTACATGTCATGTGTTAAGGCAATAGAAAAATCTATTCAAAAAATAAAAGGCATAGAAAACCTTCTTTCATAATCTAAGAAAATAAAAAGAGCCTTAATTTCTGCATTCAGAATAGAAGCAAAACTATGTTAAGTAAAAGAGGAAGTTTTAACATTTAGAACATTTTCGGGTAACATGGAAAGCTGGATGCCTAAACCATTGCCTCATTATGATTATATCATCATATTTAATTTTAAACTGCAGAAGAAGAAGGACATACGCAAAAATTTTATCATGAAGGGTAAAATGTTTTTATAAAGACTGAAGAGAAAGGGTAGCATAGATAAATATAATTAGGAGTAGGCATAGACAATATAATTAGAATTGCATCTATTTGATAGTTTCATGTGTATTCAAAATATTTCCCACAATGAAGACATCACACTAAGATGATTCCAATGTTGAATTCTGTCCAATAGTTCAAGATAACAAAACATTATCATTGGACAAACTCTTTTTTTATATTTTTTCAAACTTCCTCTCCTACTTTATTTTCCACATCATGTTTATCACTCCCCCCGTGAAGTAGGTATCGCATGTTTTATTAGATGATTACGGCCATTCAATATATTACTTTGGGTTTAGTTGGAACAGACTTAATATTTTGGAAAATTAATTTTAATTCTCCAACCCCACTTTAAAGGGTCAGTACCTACCAGCTAAATCAATGAAAATAATTGGGTGTGCAATTTATAATAAAATAACTACTCTTTGTCTCTTTGGTATCATTAGGACTGGCTGCATACTCTTTAGGCATGCTGAAGTACACTAGTGTTTTCTCAACATTTCCTTTTTGACTAAATGATAATTTTGCTTTTTCTTCATTTGGATCATGTATTGCTGGAAGTTAAATAGTCTTTGTTCAAAAGGAGAAGGAAGTTTCAAACAACATGATATTTATTTCCCTGGTAAGAGTCATGTACAAATCATAAGTTGGTCAAATCAACCTCTCATTGCTTCGAATTTATTTTCATCTATTCCAAGGGTTGGTAATTTCTCCTGCCATAGTGGCATTACATGGTCTATAAGAGAAAATGTTTCGCTCATAAATAAATGATAAAATATAACATAAAGTTGGGTAAAAATAAAGTAAGCTTCATGCTTTTAAATAATTGTTGTAAGCCTGATTGTTTTCTTTGTTATTGTTATTGCTTTCTGTTTGTTCATTTGATACTGTTTTCACATATGGCTGGCTATGATCATTTGGGCTGACTTCAACATCACCCCATATTCATTTCCAGGGTAAGATCAGCATATGATATCTACTCTGAAGGAGGTATACCTTAAAAAGCGAAAGGCAGAATATCATATGAGATTAAGTTTATTGGAATACCATATAAATTCCAAGCAAATTCTGGTTTTATATAGCAGAAGTTTGATTTTCTGTTATGTAAAGGAAGTCCAGAGGATAACGGTCCAAGGCTGGGTTGGCATTTCTGTGCCATGAAGGAGTTACGTTCCTTCTCTCACGTTCTGTCATACCTTACTGCCACTGAAATAAAATAGCTGTTCGACCTCTAGGCATCACCTTGTATTCCGTCTAACAGGAACTGGGGGAGTGGGGAAGGAACAATAAAAGGCCTTCCTTTTACAGACACTTGCTAGAAATGTTATAGAATACTTCAAATTACAACATTACAGCCAGAAATACTGATGAACGTAGTTGTTGAACTCAGTGACTGTGTTCTCAGCTAAAAATCTTCCTTCAACTACTCAGGGAAAAGTAGAGCATAGATATCAGGAAACAACTAGCAATTCTGCCCCAATGCCACACATGTAATCTCTTTCTCAAGTGTTAATCACATAAATCCATTCTCCCAGGAAACAGCAGTGTTAAGTAATGCACCCAGATCAAAGTCCACAGTACTGGGGTATATTGGACAATCCTTACTAAGGCTCTATTATGGCTCCCTGTGGGTTTTTTGTTTGTTTGTTTTAGTTTTTAGTTTTGGGGGTGCAGAGTAGGTATATATGTTCAAAGGGTACATAAGATGTTTTGAAGCAGGCATGCAATGTGAAATAAGCACAACATGTCGAATTGGGTATCCACCCTTGTGGTTTGATGACCAAGAAATTACACATGTATATACAGACAGTTCTCTAGGTGACCTTGGACCAAATCAGTTCTCCCCATTTTTCTCACTCGCAGTTCTCAAGAATGACTGTAGAATATTCTGGGAATGCAATATCTTGAGATAAGGAGGAGCTTGTTGGAAGACTCTAGGCTCTGTTCCAGCTCTTCGCGAAAAACAGAATGTTCTTCAAAGTTTTAGCCCAGCATCTCACGTGTCCCAGAGCATGAAACCCAGGTGGGCTGCTCTCCAGGGTTTCTCAGCTGTGGTTCAAGTGGAGCACATATAGATCTGACTCAGAGAACTTTCCTGAGCCTGCAGGACCAACTCACAGGGAATCCAAGGCTTTTGTCCTCCCTTGCTGCCTATCTGTTATCTATCTTGTTGTGTTGCAATGTCTCCACTTCAGTGGACTCAGACAAGTTGGTAACCAGTGTACAACAAGCGTTCTTCACAAGATACCTTATCAGGAGCTTCCAGGACAGTGCCTGAAAGAGAATAGGGAATAAACAAATACTTGTTAAATAATTTATTATAACTGGAGACATAAATTATCACATATTTCTTGAATAGGTGTAATATAGAATTAGATATCAAAGCCTAAAATAAAACTATTCAATTCAAAAAGTTCACTTTTTTTGACACCATTTCCCTGAGCTACAATTCCTATAGAGCCAGGAAAACTGATATTATAGATGTGTTTTATTAACATAGAAATATGCATGCCATAAATTTTGGGAAAAGATTTTTAAAAAGCACATTTCCAGGTATTTTAAATACTTTCTATTTCTCTCTAACATAAATGTGAATTTAATGTGTAGTAAAGGTGTTGGTATAAGATTTAATATTAAAAGTAAAAAAAAAAACAGCTTTTGTATGTCTCCAACAGAAAAACCCAGAACCACCTATGAAGTAATCTTGTCCAAACTTTCAAACTTGAATTTGTTCAACAGTCTAAATCCAAATATCAAATTATAGAAATAGAGAACACAGAGGAACACTACACTAGAAGATATAATCAGCAAAATACAGATTGTGGTAAACCGTGTCAAAACATCCCTGTTTCTTCAACAAATATGTAATAAGAATGACAAACAAAAAATGCAAAGGAAGACTAAAGATTGTGACCATATTTGGAGCTTGATTAAAGAAATACAATTAACTGTAAAAACCAAATCTGTAATTTTTATGAGATAATTGAAAGCTTCAAGACTGAGTAATAGATGATATTAATAAATTGTTACAAATTTTTTATGTGAAAATGGCATTTAGATTATGTTTTAAAGATAGAGTTATTCTATTTTAGATTATTTCTGCCGGTGTGGGGAAGCCACTTTCACTGGGGTTGGGGAGGCCCATGTTACTGTCAGACAATGCTCATCAGAATTTAAGGGCTTGGTGTTCCCATCTTCATCAGGGTCATTTCATACATTTCCATCTCAACTTACAGGATCCTGTTATGTCCCAAGCACTGCTCTCACTTTAACAGTAGATACCTTGTGAGGCTAGGAGTTTAACCTGCCTTGTAATTCAGCTAGATGCAGAATGAGATTCTGCATATGATTTTCAGCAATTTCAGCCCTGCGGCTATAGGAGGTGAAGTTCTACCTTAGGGCACAGATATATGTCTTCAAGTCATTTATGCTGCACTTACACTAGGAATTTGAAACCCTGAACTCATCTTTTTTCCCCCTACCACTTCACACAGTGATTTTAAGAGCAACATGCTAACCTAAGTATATTCATCAGTTTTCCAAAAAATGTTCTTAAGTTTTATGTACACAGTCACTCAGCTCCTTCTTATAAATGGCTGATTAGGAGTGTTTGATTAAGATGTTTTGCATATCACTTATTACCAGTTTACAGCATGAACAATCAGTGCTTTCTTGACAAGTGGAAATAAAGTTATTAATGTCTTTAAGTCTAATCAGATTAGTAAGAAACTTCAACAAACCCCAGAAACAATTCAGAAAGCTCATCCTTATTATTTTGTTATCTAGAACCACTCTTGACAATAAAATCTATATTATTCATTGCTTTCCAGGAAAATCAATATATTATATAAACACACAAAAATATTATTTGAAATTGGCTCATTCAATTATGCAGGCTGGGAAGTCCCATGGTCGGCTGTCTGCACACTGGGGACCTAGGAAAGCCAGTGGTATAGTTCTAGTTTAAGTCTGAAGACGTAACACCCAGGAGCACCAATCATGTAAGTTCTAGTCTGAGGGCTGGAGATTGATGTTGCAGCTCCAACAGTAAAGCAGAGAGAGCAAATCTGTGCTTCCTCAGAATTTCTGTTCCATTTAGGCCCCCAGTGGACTGGTCAACGCCCACCCACACTGGGGAGGGTAATCTACTCTACTGAGTCTATTAATTCAATTGCCAATCTGATCTAGAAACTCCGTCAGACACAAACATGAAAATAATGTTTAGCCAAATATCTGGGCACCCCTTAACAGTCAAGATAACAGATAAAATGAATCATTACACACATAAATGCTGAAATATTTAAGGTGGAGTCAAAAATAAATACTTGTTAGGAAACAAATTTAAAATTACAGTATTGTTAAGATATAATGTGTATACAGTATAGATTATTTGCTTATTCAAAATTTACCAACCATCAATTTCTTAACTATAGTTGATGATAGAAATGAAGATGGGGCAGTTTTAGATAACAAAAAAGTGGAATAATTTCTTTGTGCAAGAAAGAGACTGTGCAGTTGTCTCATATAGAATATCTTATTTATTCTAAGTACAAGGTGCTATTACATCTTGAATTTTGAAAACAAAAATAACAACACATCACTCTTCAACTTTCTTTAAGAAACATATATCAAAATAAAATGTAATTATAGGAAGAATGTGTTCATTTCATGACAATTATTTTATGTCTGCTTTAAGATAGAAAAAGTTAATAGAAAACATAAGCTATAATGCTAACCCATTTATGGTAGGCAAAATTCTAAAATGGTTCCAAAGATTCTGGCTCCCTGGTATATATGCCATTCCCTCAATAAAGGAAAAACTTGTGAAGATGATGGAATTTCTATCCCATAACTAGGTTACTTCATAAAGGAGAAGAGATTTTTCAGATGTCGTTACTGTAAGAAACTGACTTTCAGTAATTACAAAGGTAACTTATCCTGTGGACCTTACTTCCTCAGATGAGTGCAATCCCCTCCTGAAGAAGAGATTCAAAGACTGAAAGAGCCTATGGAGGGGCAATGTGGCAAGAAAATGAACTCTCAGCATCTAGAAGCTGAGAGATCCTGTGAGCGAGAGAAGGGGAGCTTCAGTCTTACAAGCACGAGAAATTGAAACGGCAAGAGGAATTTTAAAGCAGGCCTGGAATTTCGGCAAAGAATACAGCCCAGCAGATACTTAGATCATAAGACCTTGCAAGACAGCAGATAATCAGACTCAAAGTCCTGACACTCAGACACTGGGGGTTAATCAATTTGTGTTGCTTAAGCTGACATGTTTATGATCATTTGACATGTTTATGATCATTTGTTTTGTTTTTTTAAATTTTTTTTTGATAATTTGTTATGTAGCAACAGAAAACAGAAATGGACTTTTAATGATATTCTGAACATATTGCTTACCATTGACTTTCAGTACTACTTTGAGAATATTTTGTTTGTAATGTAGTCATCTCTCAGTATCCACAAAGAATTGGGTTCAGGACTTCCTGCGAAGATTGAAACCTGCAGATGCTGAAGTCTGTAATACAAAATTGTGTAGTATTTGCATATAACCCTGGTGCATCTTCCTGAATATTTTAAATAATCTTCAGATTACTTATAATATCTAATACAATGTAAGAGTTATGTAAATAGTTGTTATGCTGTATTGTTTAAATAATAATGACAATAAAATAGTTTGTACATGTGTAGTACAAATGTTTTCTTTTCCCCAAAAATGTAGTATCTATAGGTGGTTGAGCCCATAGATGTGGAACTCACAGATATGTAAAACCAACTGTACTTTTAAGAAAAGTATGTGCATTTAGAGGGGCCAAGCAAGATGGATGCATAGAACCCTTCGGTAGTCATCCCCCTCACAGGAACACCAAATTGAATTGAATCTGTGCAAGAAATGCCTGCATAAAGACAAAATATCAGGTGAGTGATTACAGTACCTGGTTTTAGAATCATATAAAGAAAAGAGGCCGGGCGCAGTGGCTCATGCCTGTAATCCCAGCACTTTGGGAGGCCGAGGCGGGCGGATCACGAGGTCGGGAGATCGAGACCATCCTGGCTAACACGGTGAAACGCCGTCTCTACTAAAAATACAAAAAATTAGCCGGGGGTGGTGGCGGGCACCTGTAGTCCCAGCTACTCGGGAGGCTGAGGCAGGAGAATGGCGTGAACCCAGGAGGCAGAGCTTGCAGTGAGCTGAGATCGCACCACTGCACTCCAGCCTGGGCGACAGAGCGAGACTCCGCCTAAATAAATAAATAAATAAATAAATAAATAAGAAAAGAAAGGAAGTGCTGAAGAGGGTAGAAAATGTCGTCTTGCATTGCCTACACCACCCCTCTCACACTCCCCAAGAGGCTAGTGGAGAGAGAATTTGTGTGCATGGGGGAGGGAGAGTGAAGTGATTATGAAACTTTGCATTAGAACTCAGTGCTGTCTTGCTGCAGCAGAACACAACACAAAACAAGATCCTGCCCGTGCCCATGAATGAAGCATTTAGAAAGGCCCTAGCCAGAAAATATTCTGCCCCAGCAGTAAGAAACTGAGTTCTGGCTAGCTCCACCGCCGGCTGACTAAAGTGCCCTGTGGTCCTAGATAAATGTGAAAGGCAGTCAGGCCACAAAGACTGCAGTCCTCGGGAAAGTGCTAGCGTTGTGCTTGGCTTGGAGCCGGGGGGCTTAGGGTACACAGAGTCCAATCAGAGACAAGCTGTGGCAGCCAAGGGGGTGTGTGCATCACCGTTCTCCCAACATTAGGCAGTGCAGCTTGGGGAGAGACTTCTCTGCTTCAGGAAAAGAGAAGGAAGGGTAAGGAAAGAGGACTTTATTTTGCAACTTGGGTACCGGCTCCGCCATAATAAAATAAAGCATCAAGTAGATTTCTGAAGCTCTTTATTACAGGTGCTAACTCATAGATGGCAAGTCTAGACCCAGCCTGAGAATCTTCTGCCCAGAAGAAAAGGACCCAGTAAGCAGGATTGCCCACCTGCTGACTAAAGAGCCAGTAGGCTTTGAATAAACATCAGCGGTAGCCAGGCAGTAGTCCCCTTGAACCTTGGGCAAGATCCAGTACTGCGCTGGCTTCAGAGGTGACCCAGCATAGTCCTAGCTCTGGTGGCCATTGGAATGCTTGCATCACCTCTCCCGGAACTCCAGACAGCCAAGCACATAGACACGGGCTCTTTCTATTTGGAGGAAAGTGAGCCAGGACTATAAGACTCTGCCTGGTAATTCAGGAAATTTCCCGGATCTTAATCAAGTCCACCAACGTGGTAGGAATCAGCAAGAGTCACAGTGATACTGGGCTTGGATCACACCCTAGTGCAGATGTAGCTACAGTGACTATAGACTAAGATCACAACACTCAATTTCCTTTGAATATCTGGAAAGTCTTCTCAAGAAAGATGAGTATAATCAAGCCCAGACTATGAGGACTAGAATAAATCTCCATTTCTTCAACTCCTGGACATCAGTGAGCATCCATAAGCATTAAGAATACCCAGTGCTGGGTACAGTGGCTCACAACTGTAATCCCAGCACTTTTGGAGACCAAGATGGGAACTCATGAGGCCAAAAGTTCAAGACCAGCCTGGGCAACACAGAGAGACCCCCATCTCTATAACAAATCAAAGTAAAAAGTTAGTCAGGCATGTTGCTGCCTGCTTGTAGTTCTAGCTATTCAGGAGGTTGAGATAACAGGATCACTTTTGCTTAGGAGTTCAAAGTTACAGTGAGCAATGATCATGCCACTGTACTCTAGCATGGGTGATAGAACAAGACTCTGGCTCTAAAAAATAAAATAAAATAAAATTTTTAAAAAAGAACATCCAAGGAAACATGACCTTACCAAACAAACTAAATGTGTCCCTTATATTAAACAATATTTTATTTACAATTTAATTTGTCATTAATCAAACACATATCAAACAGAGTGAAATTAAGCCTTTAGTTGGTCTTTGTCACCAAGGTAAATGCATTTTTTTTTTTATTATTTCAATCTTGGCTGGGTGCAGTGGCTCACATCTGTAATCCCAGCACTTTGTGAGGCTGAGGTCGCCAGATCACTTGAGGTCAGAAGTTCGCAACCAGCCTGGCCAACATGGTGAAACCCCATCTCTACCAAAAATATAAAAAATTAGCTGGGCAGGGTGACGTGTGCCTGTGGGTCCCAGCTAATTGGGAGGCTGAGGTGGGAGGATTGCTTGAGCTCGGGAGGCAGGGGTTGCAGTGAGTCAAGACTGGGCCACTGCACTCCAGCCCGGGTGAGAGTGAGACCCCAGAGCAACAAAATAAAATAAAATAAGAATTGTTAATAATAAGGCTAACAGAGCCTAAAACATGAAGATAGCAATCTGTTTAGCCAGCATTTGCTGATTTTAGAAACATTACTTTAGAGCCATATTTATTTTGAACCTATTAAATACCTAATAGTGTGCTAGAGGCTTCAGAGGGAATAAAAATTAGTAAGGTAAACATCTCCATCTTTAAAGTACTTGCTAGTTTAATGGTGAAGACGGGGTGGTGGAGAGATGAAAATAAGACAAAGCAATGACTATAAATGCAGGTAATCACAGGTGTCGTCATAAAACAAGAGGAATATAGAGGAACAGAGCAGAACTCTCCAAAGATCAAGTAATATCGTTATGTTATACAACTGATATAAAAGAAATGAAACAAAAGGGACATAACATATAGAACGAAGCAATGAGCAAAATTCTTGTTCTTAAAGCTCTCACTGTAACTAGAGGAAGTGAGAAAGGGGAGGAAGACAAGTTATAACAAAGAATGAGAAGTCTTAAGAAATGTCATGTAGAGTATAGTTAAACAGACTGTTTGGGAAAGTTGGGAAGCAGGTTTAATTAAGAAGACCATATTTTTGGTAGGTTTTTTAAAAGTATGAGATGGAATTGGTCAAAGAATTGACTATTACAAGTGGAGGAACAAAAGTTTCTTCAGTCTCCACAATGTAGAGAACTTCATGTTGGATATGTTAGTGACATGAATGAGATAACTATTGAAAGTTAAGCTAGAGTAAGATTTTAAAACTCTGTGAGTGGGAAACCATAAAAGCTGGTGCAGTTTCAAAGTCAGATGAGAATAAATACTGAAGAATTAAGTTTGGTTTTAATTGCTCTCGATTTGTTTAATAACAGACTAATAAGCCATACAAAGTATATTCACCAGGTCAAGGGTGCAAATGAGTCTATAAGGCATCTGTTATTGTCTTCTTTGTTTCACAAAAAGGCTATCACTGGAAATTAACAAGATAGCATTTATGGAGTGAGAAATCTGTCAAAACTAAGGAACCAGGAATACCAACAGGATAAAGGTTTGGCTCTGTCAGCAATAAAGGTTCTATCTAATTATCATATAAAATATTCCATTGTGAGTGCTGCAGTTAAATGTATCTGTTTAGTTTCTTAGTGCACCACTAGGACTTGCATAGTAGACTGGTCATATCCTCTCATCATTCAGGTTGCCAGTTTATGGCATAAAAATATTATTTAAAATGCTGTCATCTGAATGATATAGTTTGAACAGTTAGGAATACATTGACATGACCAATTTTATCTTCTGGTAAGACAATGCAAGCTGTGTTGTCTACTAATTTGAAATGGAACAGGAGAGTAGGCTGATGATAGAGATTGAACTGCAAAAATAATGAATGGAAAGGTCCAACATTAAGGCAGAGGAGGTGAAAATAGAGAAGTTAGATGTGAAAGTCATCTGTGAATGTGAAATGATATAATCTAATGAACATGTGGATAATAAAGGAAGAGAATAATAATTCTTGCAGTTTGAGAGAATGGGTGAGTAACTAGTAGAAAATCTATTTTCTTTGAAAATACTGGATTTGATAAACACCTTGCACAGAATAAATCTATGCAATAGTAGAACTGTAGTACCACTGCTTTGGTTGAAACTCTGGCACTAGCTCTACCATTTTTCTGTGTGACATTGAGCAAGTTATTTAACTTTCTTTTGTCTCTATTTGCTTATCCAAAGTAGAGAATAATAATATAACTAGTCAAAACTTTTTAGGACATTAAATGAGATAATATACATAAAACATTTAAAACAGCAACAGAAGCTTAAGACAGAGGAAACATTCTTTAGAGATTTGAAAATGAATGAATATGAAAATAAGATTATAAGATTACTAGTGATTGAATGAAAAATAAGATAACAGAACTTACATAAACTTCATATTTAAGAATTTCAAGTAAGAAAGATAAATATTTCAAATTAGAAATTAAAAAGTTAGAGAATTAGGCTGAGAATCAGAAGAAAGAGATAAAAAGCCAATGGAGAGGTCATGGACTGTTAAAAACGCAAAAAAAAAATGGTTTTGTGAGAGAAAAGAAGCAAAATATACTTTCAAAAATTTGGACTTACTCTAAAACTATGCAATATTCGGTAATGTATCAGTAAAAAGAGTACTTCTTGAAACTTAGGAATGAAATCTCTAGTAAACAATTTTTTAGCATATTGGTAAGTTAATAACAGATGTGATTGTGATATAATATTTAAAATCATAAAATGAACAATTTTAGAAAGAGATGTGAACAACTTTGACATACTTTGGCATATCTTCCAATAGTAGAAATACTGTAGCTGTCGTTTCACAGTTGGGAAAATATACTCACAGGAAGTAAACAAATTAGATAAGCAAGAAGGAATAGTCATTAACAAATATAAGATTTGGGGAGGGATTTTTTGGAGGTACTGTGTTTTTCATTTTTAATATTTATTTGAATATCATATTTAACAAATTATGTCCTAAAATGTGGATCACTGATTCAGAACACACACATTGTTATATTTTGTTTTTGCTTATATAATGTAACTGATGGTACATAGCATAATTTTGGTAAATGCTAAAATCTTTTCATATCCAAAATAACCAAAAGTTAATATTTGGTGCACTTTCCTCAAATGTCTTTCTCAAATAGTCTTAATTAGCAATGTCTAATTCTATTCTTTTACTTTTTTCTAGTTTTAAAATAAACAACCTTATTAAGATCATTGCACTGAAAATCTTTAAAAAAATAATCACTTCATTAGGAATATTCAGGCATTCATGAAGTATTGAAATATGGATAATGACTTGAAGATGTCACTAAAATGATCATCTGTCCCCAATTAATACTGATATATTACAGTCGAGAGGTCTTTTAATGATCACATTACTGGGAAATTATTGCTACTCATATAATTTGTCCTTATAATCATGTATTTATCAAAGATACAAAAGACAAGTCTCCCAGGAGGCTTATTAAAATTCTTATTCTCCTTGATTTTTAATTGGTAAAGAAGATAATTTTTCCTTTTATTTCTTCTACAAAACCAGCTGGGTTTTCATCAACATAAGTATCATTTAAAATTATGCAATTGTCATATACATAAATCTCCATTTTCAAAGGGCAGAAAATAATATGCCAAAGTGAAGAACCATTTTAAAGCACTGTTCCTGACTATTAAGTTATAATCAAATAAAATGAAACATTATTTATTAAATATCTATAGATGCTAGGCAATTTATTAACCACTAAATTTACACAGTACTAAAATAATAAGGTAAAGTTACAATGAAGAAAACCATTTGCATATAACCTTTATATTTGCTTCAAAATTACTGTTGTAAATTTTTATAATTTTAGGTAACTACAAATTACTAATTTTTGGAAAATAAATTTCAGATTCCATGAATTATGTTTGATTCCCCAGGATACTCCCCAATATTGGCAAAATCTCTAGCAAGACAGCACCTTAAAATACAACCATTTTATAAAATCCTTTCAGGCATCCATTCTCAGTTCTAATGCCTTGGTTTATCTGGTGTCTAAGCCTGCCAACAATATTGTCACCACGTTCACAAAATTTTTATTTTATTTTATTTTATTATTTATTTATTTATTTTATTATTTATTTATTTATTTATTTAGAGACAGGGTCTCTTTCTGTCAGTCAGGCTGTAGTGCAGTGGCACGATCACTGCTTACTACAGCCTCCATCTCCTGGGAGCAAACAATCCTCCCACTCAACCTCCCTAGCAGCTGGGACTACAGGCACACACAAACACACCCAGCTAATTTATGTATTTTTTGTAAAGATAGATTCGTGCCTTGTTGCCCAGGCTGGTCTTCAACTCCTGGACTCAAGTTATCCACCTGCCTTGGCCTCCAAAAGTGCTGGGATTACAGGCTTGAGCAACCATGTCTGGCCCGACAACAACTTTTATATACTATTGCATGTTGGTAGACTAACCAATTCAGAATAGCAAAGGATTTATGACTTCTTGTTGGCCCTAAGCACTGGCGAGGTGTCTGCAATGTAAAGTTACTCTCTCCCTTCCTTACTCCCTCTCTGCCTTCCACAGGGTACACTTGGAAGTCACTCTGCCCCACCCACACCTAAGGGGTGGTGAGGAGAGTTACACTCTCCCACCTTGAGGAAAGAGTCCCTACATAAAGTATTTGGAATGCTTCCTTATCAAAGATTCGTCTGTTTTTCCCAATTTGTTAATTTATTTGATCATTTATTGACGAGCTATGTGTGTTCATAAGAATTTATTTTATACTTTGTGTTACAATATTTTTGAATTGCTCAAACTATTTGGCTTTGTCTGAATATTAATGCTCATTTAGTTGGCTCCTTTATAATTCTTTGACATACCTTTCTATCAATTGTGTGCGTGGTGTGGGTGTATGTGAGAGTGTGTATATGTTTGTGTGTGAGTGTTTGGGCACTTTCTTCCTTTCCAGCATTACGTAACACACCAGGCCCATCTTGTACATTTCCTGCCTCAGTCATACACTCAGACATTTCTACAGCAACCTGCTTCTTTTTATTGGAGATGACTGTTAGAAAACAAGATCTGAGTATGAGATGTCCTAATTGCTACTGGACTTTTGTTGTTGTTTTTCCTGATTTGGGCTCACAGAACCGAAATTTGATATTGGGAGAGGACTTCAAGATGGCTGACTAAAGACATCTAGCACTCACTCCACAAAGAAGAACCGAAATAGCCAGAAGGTAAGCACATTTTGCATACAGCATCTAAAACATAACACGGGAATTCAATAAAGAAGAGACAGACAATCTCAGAGTCATGGAAGAGGGAAGTGAGGCAGCTGACTCAGCCAGGATCTGCTGAAAGCCTGAAGAACCACTCAGTATAGGGAAATAGTAAATGAGAGATCTCTAGTGGTCCACATTCCCAGCATGAACCCCTGTAACCCTAGCCACAGAAAAACCCCTTTACTCTTGTGGGCACTGAGATTCACAAAGGAAGCTTCCTGACGTCGGTGTTGTGGTACCGTTCAAGAGAAGAAATGCATGGTGAGTCCCTGTGCCCCAAGTCCTGAGGAATCACATCACAGTGCCATATTGAAAGCCTGAATCCCACAAGACTGCATTCTGCCCAGGGGCCCAATAGCCCCTGTATTTTCACATCCCTGGAGCACCACTGACATCCCCCTGCATCTATCCATAGAGCAGCAGCAGCATAATACTAGTTGGACTCAGTGGAGCAGCAGGGTCCTCAGCACTCTAGCACATGCAGTCTCCTGCACTCCAGGGAATGTGTAACAGTGCACCAAGGAGGCTGCACCTGGGACTAAGGGAGCCAAGGTGTACGCTCCATAGAGCATGAAACCTGCCTACCTGGGGCCACTGCAACTTACAGCAACTCTGTTCCTGCCAGAAGCAGAGCCACAGTGCACTTGCGTGTGTACTGAGGACAGATTCTCCTTGCTCACAGCCTCCACTGCTGCCAGTGCCAATGGCTAAAGTAAGCACCACTGCCAGTGACCCTGCCTCCTGCTATTACAGGTACCACACCCTTGTATGTGTCCTGAGAACTGGTTCTCCCTGCTCACTGTTACAGCCATTGCCACTGTGGTCCAAAGTGTGTGCTCTTCAGAGAGTTTGAGAGCCACCTCCTTGAGGCTGTTACCACTGACGGAAATCCATTCTCACTCAGCAGCAGGGACAGAGTGAGCTTACACATACATCAAAGATGGGCTATCCCGCTCACCATCACCACTGCTGCTGTTACACTAGCACTTTTCCAGGGACCTGGAGAACACTTCACCCTGTGCACCACAACCTGTGCCCATGTGCACCTCTGGGGCCCCTGAGGACATATCTGCTGGGCTTGGCATCACTCCTTCAATGCTAAGCATGCCTGGAGATGGCCCCACCCTGTCCACCACTGTTGGCATCAGTGCATTCCTCTCAGGGGTTTGAGGATAAGCCTACCCTGCTGAGGATAAGTCTCTGCTACTGGGCGTTGCTACCATTATAGCTGGCTCATACCCACACACACCATGTGGGGACCTAGGAAGTGGCTCACCCAGCTCATCACAGCCAATACTAACACAAACACGTGCTGCCTGGGAGCTCCAGGGTTGTTGCGTCATTGCTACAGTCATCACTTAGACCCTGTGCACTGCTCAGCGTGCTAAGGATCTACCCACACACCCAGCCCACTGCTGCTCCTGCCAGCACCCAAGCAAGTCACTTGGAGGCCTAAAATCTGGCCCAGTTTGACCACCTAGCACCAGTTCCTGCATATGCTGCCCCCAGGCCCAAAGATAAGCATGCTCAGCTCACCATTGCCACCACTGGGGCCTGAGAACTGGCCCATCTGGTGTTGCCTTCCCAATAGCACCTCACCACAGCCTCCACTAACAATGGTATCCTAACTGCAGAGAAAATCAAGGGCATCACTGATGCTGTTTATAGCTGAAGAAATCATATGGAGACGGTACTTCTGCACCTACCCCAAATCAAAGCTAAAGTGCCCAATCCAACCAACATCAAAGATACATCTTTAGGAAAAAGTCTGCCCCTATGAAAGCCAATACAAAAACTTGGAAGAAGTGGCTATTGCAGCAGATGAACAGATATAAATGTAAGGATGCACACACATACACACACACACACACACAGGAAAAAAAAGAAAGGAAATATGACACCTCTAAAAGAACACAAGAATTCTTCAGCAACAGATTTCAATGACAAAGAAATTAATAAAATGCCACAAAAATTTAAAATAGTGTTATTATAAAAGATCAAAAAATACAGATAAATGATTCAAGATATAAATAAAAATTTTACCAATATAACAGATATTTAAAAGAGAATCAGACAGAAATCTTGGAACTGAAGATTTCAATGAAATAAATTAAAAATTCATTTGAGAGTTTCAATAATAAAGTAGATCAAGTAAACAATGAATTTCTGAACTTGAAGACAGGTCTTTTGAAATAATTCTGTCAGACACACACACACACACACACACACACACACAAATAATAAAAAAGAATAAGCAAAGTCTATGTGAAACATGGGGCACCATAATTGATGAAATATATGAATACTGGGTATTTCAGAAGGTTCAATAAGCCCAAAGGCATAGATAATTTAAGTAAAAAATAGTAGTGGAACATTTTACAAGTTGAACAAGAGATTTATATATCCAGATAGGGGAAGCTCAGAGATCCCCAAATAGATACAACCCAAAAAGTTCTGCTCTACTGCACATTATAGTCAATCCATCAAAAGTAAAACTAAACTAAACTAAAATAAATAATAATAATATTAATTAAAAAACAGTAATAGAAAAGCATCTAGTCACATATAAGGGAATCCCAATCAGGCCAACAGTAGATTTCTTAGCACACACCTTACAGGCCAGGAGAGAATGGGATGATATATTCAAAGAGATGAAAGAAAAAAAACCTGCCATTCAAGAATGCTGGGCCCGGCGCAGTGGCTCACGCCTGTAATCCCAGCACTTTGGGAGGCCAAGGCGGGCGGATCACGAGGTCAGGAGATCGAGACCATCCTGGCTAAAACGGTGAAACCCCGTCTCTACTAAAAATACAAAAAATTAGGTGGGCGTGATGGTGGGCGCCTGTAGTCCCAGCTACTCCGGAGGCTGAGGCAGGAGAATGGCGTGAACCCAGGAGGTGGAGCTTGCAGTGAGCAGAGATCGCACCACTGCACTCCAGCCTGGGCGACAGAGAGAGACTCCGTCTTGAAAAAAAAAAAAAAAAAAAAAGAATGCTGCATACAGCAAAGTTATTCTTCATAAATGAAGAAGAAATAATGTTTTTCCCAAATAAGCAAAAACTGAGAAATTCATCACTAGACCAATCCTAAAAGAAATGCTTAAGGGTATCCTACGCCTGCAAAAAGGGCAATATCCACCATCATGAAATACACAAAAAAGATAAAACTCACTGGTAAATACACAAATGAGGAAGATAAAATACTCAAGTGTCGCCACTACAGAAAACCATGAAACCACAATCATAAACAACAGGAGTGACATAAAGGAACAAAATAGATACAAAACAACCAGAAAACAATTAACGAAGTGACAGGAATAAGTCTTCACATATCAATAACAGTCTTTAATGTTAGTAGATTAAACTTTTCACTTAAAAGATAAAACCTGGGTGAATGAATAGAAAAATATATTCCAATTATATCCCATATACAAAAAAACTCACTTCACCTGTAAATATACATACAGACTAAAAGTAAAAGAATGGAAACAAAAAACTAGCATGAGTAGCTATGCTTATATCAGATAAAACAGATTTTAAGTCAAAAAATGTAGGAAGAGACAAAGAAGTTCATTATATAATGATAAAGGAATCAATTCAGCAGGCAGATAAATAATCATAAATGTATATGCACCAAACACCAAAGCATCTATATATATAAAGTAAATATTAGTATATCTAAAGGTAGTGATAGACTACAATACAATAATAGCTAGAAATTTTAACTTCCCAGTCTCAGCAGTATCTACACAGAACATTAACAACAATAACAAAATTGAACTTAAATTTCCCTTTAGAACAAATGAACCTAAAATATGTCTGTAGAACATTGTATCCAAAAGCTGCAGAATACCCGTTTTTTCTCAATATCTCGTGGAACATACTCCAGGACAGATCACATATTTGTCTACAAGCAAGTCTCAACAATTTTTAAAATCAAAATTATATTGAGTATTTTTTCAGACCACAGTGAAATAAAACTGGCAACCAATGACAAGAGAAACTTCGGAAACTTTACAAGTACATGAAAATTAAACAACATGCTCCTGAATAACCACTGGGTCAATGAAGAAATTAAGATGAGAATCAAAAAAATCCTTAACAGAAATGAAAAAGAAAATAATACAACATCTCAAAACCCATGTAATTCAGTGAAAACAGGGTTATTAGGCAAGTTTATAGCAATAAATGCCTATGTCAAAAACGTAGAAAAATTTCAATTAACCATTTAATGATGAATTTGAAGGAACTAGAAAAGCAAGAACAAACCAAAATGAAACTCAGTAGAAAAAATAATAAAGTTTGTATCAGAAATAAATGAGAGACTAAAGATTACAAAGGATCATCAAAATGGCAAGTTGATTTCTTGAAAAGATCAAGAAAATTGATACCAGTTAGACTAACAAAGAAAACAGAGAAGACCCAAATAAACAAAATTAGAAACAGAACTGACACCACAGAAATATAAGAGACCATCAGAGACTATTGCGAATAACTATATGCTAACAAACTGGAAACCCTAGAGGGGATGAATACAGTATGTACATATACAATGTAGGAAGATTGAATCAGGAAGCAGTAGGAAACCTGAACAGACTAATAACAAGTAAGAAGATTGAATCAATAATAAAAAGTATCCTCAAAAGGAAAAGCCCAGGACCAGATGACTTCGCTGTCAAAAGTTAGCAAACTTATCAAGAAGAACTAACACCAGTTCTCCTTAAATTATTCCATAAAATTAAAAAAGAGGGAATTCTGCCTCACTTCTACAAGGCCAGCATTATCCTGGCACCAAAATCAGACACAAACACAATAGCAAAAAATATACACCAAGAACGCTGATGAACATAGGAACAACAATTATCAGTAGAATACTAGCAAACTGAATACAACAGCCAGCACATCAGAAATATAAAACATAATGATCAAGTAGGATTTATCCCAAGGATGTAGCAATGTCAACATGCACAAATCAATAAATGCGATATATTACATTGACAGAATGAAGGACAAAAAACATATGATCATCCAAAGAGATACACTAAAAGCATCTGATAACATTCAAAATTTCTTCATGTTAAAAAACTCTCAACAAACTAGGCATAGAAGGAACATACTGCAACATAATAAAGGCTGTGTATGGCAAACCTATAGCTGACGTCATACTGAATGAAGAGAAACAGAGTCTTTACTTTAAGAACTGAAATAAGGCAAGGATGGCCACTTCCACTATTCCTATTTAACATAGTACTGAAGGTCTATCCAGAGAAATCAGACAAAAGAAAGAAATATAGTAAAAGGCATCCAAATTGGAAAAGAGAAAATCAAAATATCTCTATTTGCAGATGACATGATCTGATATCAGGAAAAATCTAAAGACTACACCAAAGAATTTAGGTCTGAAAGACAAATTAAGTAAATTTGCAGAATACAAAAGTAATATACAAAAGTCTGTATTATTTCTATATGCTGATAATTAAATAGCTGAAAAAGAATTCAAAAAGTCAATTTTATTTATAGAAGCTACAAAAAGAAAATACATAGGAAAAAGCTGAACCAAGAAGGTGAAAGTTCTCTACAAGAAAAACTACAAAATTAGAAATGGAAGATGACACAAACAAATAGAAAAACATCTCATTATCATGAACCAGAATAATTACAATTGCTAAAATGGTCATACCACCCAAAGCGATGTACAGATTAAATACATTCCCTTTCAAAATGCCAATGTCATTTTTTACACACACACTGCAAATGTAATAAAAGTTGTAAGATTAATCTTAAGGAAAAAGAACAAATCTGGAGGCTTTACATATTTGCCTTTAAAATATTTTACATGACTATAATATTGAAAATATTTAGATTTTTTTAATATTTTACAATATTTTTACAACTTTAAAATATTTTATAAGGCTATTGTACCCAAAATAGCATGGTACTGGATGAAAAATAGACTTACAGACCAATAGAACAAATAGAGAACCAAGAAATAGTTCCACATATTTATAGCTGTATCAGTCTGTTCTCACACTGCTAATAAAGACATACCTGAGACCGTCTAATTTACAAAGAAAAAAGAGGTTTAATGGACTCACAGTTCCAAATGACTGAGGAGGCCTGACAATCATGGCAGAAGGCAAAGGAGGAGCAAAGGCATGTCTTACATGGTGCCAGGTAAGAGAGAGTGTGCAGAGGAACTGTTCTTTATAAAACCATCAGATCTCATGAGACTTATTCACTATCACATCCAAACCATATCAATAGCCAACTGATTTTTGACTCAAACACCAAAGCATACATTGGGGAAAGGATACCCTATTTAAAAATGGTGCTGGGAAAATGGGATATCTCTATGAAGGTGAAAGAAACTAAACTATTTTTCACTATATACAAAAATCAACTCAAAGTAGATTAAAGACCTAAATCTAAGACTCTAAACTATAAAACAACTACAAGAAAACATAGGGGAAACACTATAGAACACTGGTCTAAGCAAAGATTTTATACCTGAGACTGCAAAACCACAGGCAACAGGAACAAAAATAGACAAATGAGACTATATTGAACTTAAAAGCTTCTGCACAGCAAAGGAAATAATCAATAAGGTGAAGATACATTCTGTTGAATAGGATAAAATGTTTGCAAACTATTCATCCAACAGTGGACTAACATCCAGAATATACAAGGAACTCAATTTAATAAATAGAAAAAATTATAAAGAATCCCATTAAAATGTGGTTTCAGAATCTAAACAGACACCTCTCAAAAGAAGTTATACAAAATGCCAACTACTCATGAAAAAATGCTCAACATGACTAACCATCAGAGAAATACATATCAAAACAACAGTAAAATACTATCTTTCCCCAGTTAGAATGATTATTATTAAAAAGACAAAAAATAACAGTTAGTGAGAATGTGGAGAAAAGAAAACTCTAATACACTGTTGGTAGGAATGTAAATTATTGTACAGCCATTATGGAAAACAATGTGGATATTTCTCAAAAAATTAAAAATAGAGCTACCATACAATCCAGCAATTCCACTACTCAGTATTTATCCAAAGGAAAGAAAATCAGGGTATCAAAGAAATACCTGTGTCCCATGTTTATTGCAGCACTATTCACAATAGCAAAGATGAAGAATCAACCCAAGGGTCTATTAATGAATAAATAGATAAAGCAAATGTGCTATACCTACGATGGAATATTACTCAACCATAAAAATAAGGAGGTCCTGTCATTTACAGCTACATAGATGAAACTGTAAGGTCATTATGTTAAGCGAAATAATCCAGGCACCAAAAGAAAAATATTGCATATTCTCTTTCATAGATGGGAGTTAAAACCAACTCCTGAACGTAGAGTGTAAACTATAGTTACCAAGGGCTGGGAATGGTGTTGGGGGGCTAGGGTGAGGAGAATTAGAAGAGATTGATTAATGGGTAGAGATATACAGTGAGATAGAAGGAGTAAGTTCTAATTTTAAATAGCAGAGTAGGATGACTATAGCTAATGAAAATGTATTATATATTTCAAAATAGCTAGAACAAACAAGTTGAAAATTTCCCAACACATAATAAATACTTGAGGTCATAGATACCCCAAAATGTCCTGATAATTACACATTCTATGCACATAACAAAATATCATATGTATTATATGTACCCCATAAAATGTACAACTGTTACATATTAATTAAAAATTCAAAAAATTATATGTATTTAATCCAACTCATATATATATGCACACATATATAAATATTTCTATATGTAACCATCTGTGTCTATATTAAGCTCAACTTGAATTTATGCTGATGTGTCCAATTCATTACCACATCAATCATTCGAGCTTTCTGCCTTTGCTTATCTGTAAACTCCCACTCCAACAGTGAACATCCTGGCTCCCACCATCTGCCATCCATTTACTTAATTGTTCCATTCCATTATACATGCATAGCAACATGACCAGTCATAAATTATGATGATAAATATGTACATTTGATAAGTTGTAATGACAGTGACATTCTGCCTCTGTAGTCTTCTTTGTAGTAACCCATAACCCCAATCATTCTACAAAATACCTGATTACTGCTCAAAACATTCAAGGTCATAAAAAGCAAGGAAATTGTTCTCACTTATAAGTGAGAGTTAAATGATGATAACACATGGACATATAGAAGGGAACAACACACACTGGGGTCTTTCAGAGGGTGGAGGGTGGAAGAGGGAGAGGATCAGGGAGAACAGCTAGTGGGTACTAGGCTTGATGCCTGAATGATGAAATAATCTGTACAACAAACCCCCATGACACAAGCTTACCTATGTAACCAACCTGCACTTGTACCCCTGAAGTTAAAAGTTAAAATATTTAAAAATTAAAAATAAAAAAATTATGAGCCGATGCCAAGAGAAGCCTAAACAGATATGAAAATTAAATGTAATGTGATACTCTGGACAGTCTCTTGCAACAGGAAAGGGACATTAGGTTAAAACTAAAGAAATCTAAATAAACTATGGCCTTAAATTAATAACAATGTATGGGCTCATTAACTGTAGCAAATGCATCATACTAATGTAAACTTTTAATTACAGGTAAAATGGGAAAATCTGTACTATCTTCTCCAATTTTTTGAGGTACAAAACTATTCTAACAATTAATATCTAATATAAAGATCTTTTTAAACAACACATTTCAACGTGGCTCGAATTATACTGCTTATATACATAAATATCCACAATTAAATTGTGGCACATGATACGAAGTAAATAAAAAACTGTTCTTAACTATTTAAATAATGCCATGTATGTGATATGGTTTCAGGAAAAAAAATTCCTTTTTTAAAACCATTTTCAGTAATAAATTGTTGACAGCTGAAGCATTGCTCTGTGGTAGATTTCATATTTAATTGGCATCAAAAAAGCTCATTAATCATAGAATAAAAAACTGAAAAATCAAAATCTTAAAATATATGATGAGTAGTTTTTATACTGTATAAAACATTTAAACTAAAAACTAGATGTAGTTTCAGTATACAGAAGAATATTTATAAGGTCAGTCAAAACTTTTAGTATCTTGGTGTGGAGTTGATATAATTATAATCTGTATATATTAGTTGTCTTTGATGTGTAACAAAAACATCATCGACTTTGCACTCTGAAATAACGTAAGTTTATTATCATAGTTTATGTGGATCAGTAGCCTGGACAGAGTAGCTGGGTTCTCTTCTAGGGATCTTTCAATGATGCAATTCAGCTATTGTCCGAGCTTTGTTCCTTCTGGAGCTTAGGTTTCTCATCCAAGCTCATGTGGTTTTTGGAAAAATTAAATTCCTTGCAATTATAGGGCTGAGGTTCCTCATTTTCTTGCTGGCTCTCAGCTGGGACTCCTCTCAGCTCCTAGAGGGCCCTGTGTTGCTAGTCATGATCATTTCACAGGTTCTTGTGGAAGGAGGCACCTTACTTCTTCAAAGCTGGCAGAAGAATCACGCTCATCATGAATTTCTCAATTTCTCTATGAAAGCTTTCATCTGACTAAATCAAGCCCACTGTGTTAGTTTGTTCTTGCATTGCTATAAAGAAATACCTGAGGCTGGGTAATTTATGAAGAAAAGAAGTTTAGTTGATTCACTACTCTTCAGGCTTTACAGGAAGCCTGGTGCTGGCACCTGCTCAGCTTCTGCTGAGGCCTCAGGGGGCTTACAGTAATGGTAGAAAGCAACAGGGAGCCAGCATGACACATGTGAGAACAGGAGTAAGAGAGAGAGTGGAGGAGGTCCCAGACTTTCAAACAACCCGATCTCATGTGGACTAACTGAGTGAGAACTCACTTCACCAAAGGGATGGTGATAATCATTCTTGAGGGATCCTTCCCCATGATCCAATCACCTTCTACCGTGACCCACTTTCAACACTGGAAATCATGGTTTAACATGAGATTTGGAAGAAACAGACATGCAAACCATATCACCTGCTTAGGATAACCAGTTATTTGGATTAACTCAACATTAATTGATTTAGGACCTTAATAACTTTTTCATGATCCTGTCACTGTTGCCATATAAAGTAACACAATCATGGGAGGGTCGTTTCATCACATTTATAAGTCCTCTCACACTCAAGGGTGGGGATTATACAGTGCATGTACATCAGGGGATGAATATGCTGTGACTATATTAAAATTCTTTCTGGCACATATGTATTTACTGTTTAGTGTGAGAGTTGTTAGGCTGTGTGTGTGTGCACCTGGAGGAATGTTTCATTTTAATTTACAGTGTCATGCTTGTGATGTTGTTGGGTTCTATGTCTTAGGTAATATTAAAATGCTCATTTTAAAAATTAAGAAACCATATAAAGATAGATTTAATAATTTATTCATTGATACAGAGCTAGGAAATGATATAATGTGGATTTGAACTCAAATCTCTGAACTTTGATTTAAAACTCTGTGATATCAATTACCTATTTAATTATTCACCAATTATTACTGTAACAACAAGTGTGGAAAATGCTATGCTATGTAAATTTGTTAAAATTATGCATTTTCTACTAGGAAACAACTTTCAAAGTTTATTCTATATGTAAAATGGGAGGATGACTTAGTTAAATGTGAAAGAATTCTGATAGAATTATCAATGTTAGAAATGTTTCAGTTGAAATTTCAATTTTTAAGGTTTTATTGAAAATAACTTTAGATTTATCGAAATCTGCAAGAACAATACTATTAATCTAGGTACAGGATAGATTTCTAAAGCATTGACATGTTACCAGTGTGTAGATCCTAGCAAACCAGGACATTCTCTTAGATAAACACAAAAGAAGAAAGCTAACATTGGCACAATACCTTGATCTTCTCTATAGGCCTTATTTATAGTAAGTTCTAATAGTTTCACTTAAATCAAAAGGAAGTTCCACATTAGCTATTTTATTCCATTGACAAGACTCTTGTCTTTAATCTCAAGCAGTTCTTCTTTTGTCTGTTATGACATTAACATTTTTGGCCAGTTACTTCATAATATATTGCTCAATTTTGGTTTGTCTGATTATCCCTCATGATTAGATTCAAGCATTACATTTATGGATTGAATAGTCCAGAAATTATGTTGTGTTTCTTTCAGTGTGTTTTCATGAAGAGACTTATGAGTCCTTTTGGTCCTACTACTGTAGATCTGAATTTTTTATCATTCAGTAAAGCTGATGTATGCCAATCTTCTCTACTCCAAAAGTATTAGTTAACCCAGTCTAATTCACAACTATTTTGTGGTGATATATTTTAGGATGATTGCTAATAAGCTATTGCTCTTCAAACTTTCAAATGCTAATTTTGGTATTCATTGATGATTCCTGAGTCAGCTATTATTATTTTTATGATTTTCAAATGACAAGGTTTATTATTCTGTCAATCCTCCTACATATTTTATTTATCTTTCCACTGTAAGGAAGAACCTTATTACTTATTTATTTTTGTGTTTACTAATTTATTTATATCAATATAGGTTCATAGATTCTTATTTTATTCAACATGTTATAATTACTTACCTACATTATTTATTTGAAACTCAAATTTTCCTGAATGACCCACTAGACACTTTCTTCCATTGACTTTCAAGTCCTTTGATGTATCCCCGTCATTCTTTAAAGTGCTTAAAGACACTGCATTAACAGACTTGTTGGCACAAAAAGTTTATCTAGAATTATCTCATCAAGCCCTAGAATCAACTATTTCATGAAGAATCTCTAGATCACTTTGGTAGAGAATTATATGCAGGAACAAAAATGTGGGCACTAATTGTGCTCAGTGCTACTAGAGGTCATTTCTTCTAAGCTATCTCAAAAGACAGACCTAGGAGGTGGAAAAATGTATAGGCATGCATTCACACATATTTAAAAACATCTCTTCTATATCCATGTCAATGTCTTTCCATCTGTCTGTATCTATCTATCCATGTATCAATTGTAATTCAACACCCTATTTCTATATTTTAACTCTTTCCTCTGATAATGACACATTTGAATTTTATTTTCCACAATATATTACTCAATCCTGGAATACATGGAAAGTGCTTTTCTCATTGTGAACAATGAAAGTATAGAAAAATGAAGCAGCTAACCAAAGTACACTACATGTGTTTAGTCTAAGAGTATACAGTTCTAATACTCTTAAGGTTTTTTCTTCCTCCTTTAGTATATTAATCCTATTTTTTTGAAATACACTTTAATTTATGTCTGTTTATGAGTATGTTTTACTATTCCTTTTGATTTATGTGTTTAAAATTTTTTTCAGCTGTTGAAACAACATAAATTTGAAAATCATACTGTTAAAAGTCTACTAACGGAAGTTTCATTCCCAGTCCTTATCACTTCTATTTTTTCTACCCTTTATGCACTCATTCCAATGTAAGTAATTAAATTATTGGTCTCTAGTTTATGTTTCCTATGTTTCCTCATCACTTTATGCAGGAGCAAATACATACATATTATGTTTTACTATTTTTTTCACAAAGTATTATTTCTCTGTATGTATAGATACTATTTTCCATTTTTAAAAAATAACTCATCAGTTCATATAGATCTTTTCATCCATTTTACAGTTGCGTAATGATTTTGTGACTATAACACTTTATTAACCACTCTTCTATGTATAGCCATTTAAACTGTTTCTGTTATGATGCACTTACAAACAATGTTGTAATGCATAATTTTATGCACCTATACTTTCATATACTGGAAGGGTATGTTCAACATAAACTCCTAGAAAGAGAAATTTTTTAGTGATAAAATAAATGTTTACGCCATTTTGTTAGATAGTTCAATTCTACTCCATAAGTATTGTACCAATTTGTATTTTCACCAGAAATGTACGAGAGTGTTTCCCCAAAGCTACATTGACCAATTCATAAAATTTTGGAAATGGCAGAGAATATAAGATGATTTATGTAAAAACTTTGTGTTTGCGGATGAGAAAAACATTTACTATTTAAGGCCAGCACTCTTAGGTGTTAGTCTCTTTTTGCTGCCATAAAGTAATACCTGAGGCTGGGTAATTTATAAAGAACAGAGGTTTATTTGGCTCATGATTCTGCAGGCTGTACATAAAGCATAGTGCATACATCTACTTTTGGTGAGGGCCCCAGGAAGCTTACAATGATTGTGGAAGGTGAAGGGGAGCCAGTGTGTCACAGGGTGAGCGAAGGAGCAAGTGAGAAGAAGAGGGGAGATGCCACGCTCTTTTAAACAACCACATCTTTTGTGAAAGTATTAACAGTCATTACTGTAGACACGGCACTAAGCCACTCATGAGGAATCCATCCCCATGACCCAACACCTCCTACTAGGCCCCATCTCCAACATTAAGGGTCACATTTCAATATGAGATCTGGAGGGGACAAATATCCAAACCATAATATTATTTCCCTGTCCCACCAAATCTCATGTGCTTTTCATTGCAAAATATAAACATCTCTTCCTAATAGTCCCCAAAAGTCTTAACTCATTAAAGCATCAATTCAATAAAAAGTCCAAAGTCTAATCAGAAACTTGAGTCAAGTTCCTTCCTCCTATGAGCCAGTAAAATAAAGTGTTTACTTTGAAGATACAGTGGTAGTATAGGAACTGGTTAAGTATTTCCATTCCAAAACAGGGAAATCAGCCAAGCGAAAGGCACAGCAGGCCCCATGCAAGTCTAAAACCCCATAGGGCAGACATTAAATCTTAAAGCTCCAAAATAATCCTTGATTCCGTGCCTCACATCCAGGGGCACACTGATGTAAATGGGCAGCTCCCAAGGGCTTGGGCAGCTCTACCCCTGTAGCTCTGCAGGTTGCAGCCCTGTGGTTGCTCTCACAGGGTCTGAAGCTGAGTGCTGGCAGCTTTTCCAGGCTTAAGGTGTACACTGCCGGTGGGTCTACTATTCTCCAGTCTGGAAGGCAGTGGCCTCCTTCCCACAGCTCCACTAGGCAGTGCCCTGGTAGGGACTTCAAATGAGGACTCTGCCCCAGCAGCAAACTTGGTCCTGGGCACCCAGGCCTTTCCATACGTCTTCTAAAATCTAGGCAGATGTTGTCAAGCCTCCTTCACTCTTGCATTCAATGCATCTGCAGACTTAACACCATGTCAAAGCTGCCAGGGCATATGGGAGATTGTGTTCTCCAAAGTGGCAACTGGAGCTGTACTTGGACCTTTTGAGCTGTGGCTGGAACTGGAGCTGCTGGAACAAGGTGAGTCCCAAGGCTGCATAAAAAAGTGGGGCCTCAGGCCTATTCCCTGAAACCATTATTTTCTCCTTGGCCTCCTAGGCCCCTGATGGGAAGGCCAGCCTCAAAGATCCCTGAAATGCCTACAAGGCCTTTTTGCCGTTGCCTTGTCTATTAGCACCTGGCTCCATTTTAGTCAGGCAAATCTCCCTAGCAAGTGGTTGCTCACAGACCACCTGTATTCTTCCGCTGTAAATGTTTTTTCCTTCTTCACCACATAGTCATGCTGCAAACTGTCTAAACTTTTATGCTCTGCTTTCCTTTTAAATATGAGTTTAACTTTAAGTCATTCATTTGCTCCTGTATCTGATCACAGTTTGTTAGAAGCACTCATACCAACGTTTGAACACTGTGGCTTAGAAATTCCTTTTGCCAGATACCTTAAGTCATCACTACTCTGAAGTTCAAACTTCCACAGATTCCCGGGGCATAGACACAATATGACAGCCACATTCTTGGCTAGGCCATAACATGGATGACCCTTACTCCAATTTCTCAACAACTTTCTCATTTCCATTTGAGAACTCTTCAGCTTGGAGTTTGCTGTCCATATTTCTATAGGTATTTTGGTCAAAACGACTTAACAAGTTTCTAAGAAGTCACCAAGTTTCCCTTATGTTCATGTCTTCTTCTGAGTCCTCCAGACTCTTCCAATCTCAACCTCTTACCCAGTTCCAAAGCCACTTTTACATTTTCAGTTATCTTTACAGCAATGTCCCTCTCCTCAGTACCAGTTTTCTGTGTTAGCCTATTTGCATTGCTAAAAAGGAATACCCAAGGCTGGGTAATTTATACAGAAATGAGGTTTATTGGGCTCACAGTTCTGCAGGCTGTACACAAATTAAGTAAATAGTGCTGGCATCTGCTTCTGGTGAGAGCCTCAGGATGTATTCAATAATGAATAAGATGTCACTTTTTAAAGCTCTAATTTATAAATCATGGGAAATAATATCTACCACAAGTTTAAAAAATACAATTATTATGTAGTATGATATCTAAATTAATAGGTCTTTTTAAAATATAGTTTTACTTAAATTTTCTAAAGGCATTTTGATATTAACAAACTCATTTTATATTATTTAAAATGGTATTAATAAAATAAGAACTCCAACATACGAAGAGAAATAGAAAAGAAATATCACATCCTTTTGGATAGAGAAAATCTTTTTTTTTTCTTTTGTTTTTGCCAAGGAGTGCATGTATGCTATACATTTTTCAGTGTTATTAATTCCAATAATGCCATATCAAAATCCAGTCTTCAAATTTTTCATATAGATTTATAGACTCAAACAGAGGTGAAACACAATCTCTGAGTAATTTATATATCCTGCTCTGTGTGAGCCTACATGTCTAATTTCCTTTCCCCAATGCTTCTGAAAACACATTAGGACATGTTTGCAGTATACACTACTATTAGTAATTGAAGTATTAATGTTGTTTGGGTATACTCATTACTATAGCCACCATTTTAGATTTATTCTATGATATGGAAATAATTCAGTTCTGTAAAGATACAATGGTGATTTATTTGGCTTCTTGGAGCCACAAAAGTCTTCAAAAGAATTCTTTTATTTTTTCTCCTTAATGAAACATCTACTGCATTACATTCTCATCCCCCCTTTAAATGCAATCTATATGTCACACTTAATTTTACATATCCTTTTAGGTCACACTTAGACTTTTACATGGTAAAATGCACAGCTATAATATAATTTACATATTTGATATTTGATAACGAATACATGAAAATTTCTGACCAAAAAATTACTGAATTAACTAGAAACAATTTATAGATTTGATATTGTTTTCTGGGTGAATTAACACTATGAATATATTATTTAAGAAACAAAACCATACATTTATAATTTTTTAAATAAATAAGTCAAATGTCAATTTAAGATGATCTCTATATTTAATTTTAAAATCTTACATCTAATATTTTTAGTGCTGCTATTTTATTCTGAGAGCTCAGAACATCATGTTTACGTTTTTCAAAGATACTGATTTTCTTTAAATAGCATAAAATCCATACATAATTTAACACATTGATATAAGAATTTTGACTTATTAATTGTACATTCAAGCAAAGTCTATATAATTATTGCTTTAATCTGTCTTTTCCCTTTGCCCTGTTTTGTTTCTTTCTCCTTTTCTTATTTTCCATTGCCTTTCTTCAAAGCTAATACATACAACAGTCCAGGTATTTCTGTTTTAAACCTTTAAAATAATGTTTATTTTCAAAGAACAGCTGTAGGCACATCATATTTTCTAGGATTTAAAGCTTAAAAATTATTGAAGATTAAATTGTTCATCACATGTCACACCACTAATACCTTTTGTTTTAAAAATACTACCAGGATAAATAGAGTATTTTTAATTTTTCCCATAACAATGCTTATATAATACAGATAACTCACTCTGCCATAATATATTTGTAAGAGAATTTTTAATGGATTATATAAGCCATATCATTAATACTTAAATATCATTATGTAAGAACAGTTTTAATACAGTACTTCTGAGTATACACCTTTGAGTTCATTGACCATTATATTTACAGCTGATGCAACATATCTTTGAAAATTGTATGCTTTGTACACGATTAGAAGATTAGTGGTTTTTGTAAGTTTATTACAATTTATATTATTCACTTATTATAGCATACATCGGCATGATATTACTTTAGGAGATATTAGGCAATTCAATGAAAATGCAATGTAATTTTGTTCTAATTACACTAAAAAAAAAGATAAATAATCAAAGCTTTATTCTCAAATTGAAACTATTGAGTTAAAAACCAATATATGCTTTCCAACACTTTAGTAGAAAATTTTGCGTCAAAAAACTGCATATTTAACAATCTCTACCTACCCTCTGTTGCCCTTTTTAAAGAAAGAGATTATTTGTGAATGTGTTTATAAACCATTATGTTATTTATCTAAAACAAAATTCCACATGCTTGTGAATAAGTAATTGTTTTTATGTTTAGACATTATTTAAACTCACAGTTTGCTAAGAGAACTATTTTAATTAATTTCTATTTCAAGAATAATACTTGCTATGACATTTCTAGTGTTTTCTCAAAATTCTTAAATTTATAAATAGACTACACACACATACCCATATACGTGTGTGTATAGATGGATATATGAAATATTAAGAATAAAATTATCACTAATATTGTCAACTTCATAAGAATGTCAAATAATTGAGGCACAAAGAACACATCTCATGATTAAAAGAATTATACATCAGATCATTAGAAAAAAAATGTTACATAAGTTTGATCCAGAAAGCTTAGTTTATTTGATTAAAATCATTATCATTCAATCATAAGACTTTATTTACTTCTTTCTTTGTATTTATCTATTTGTAGTGCCAGAATACACACACAAGCATATATACCTATATATGTGGATATACTATGTATTATTGGCTACTTTGTTGTATTTTTATTTCATTTCTATTATTTGACAAACTCACACCTAAATTTTGGGTATCTATACTCAATTCTTATACTATGCTACATGAGTTAATTGGCCGATAGTTTAACCCACAAACAAAATATGTTTCAAAGTGTGATCTAATATACATTTCCAGAACATTATAGAAATATATGTATATATTTCTATCTGTTGCTATTAAAATAAAAATGCATGTGGAAGAAAATTCCAGTTATTTTATTTTCTATTCATTGCAAATTAGTGTGTATTGTTTCATAAAGTAAATCTTTAGTGTTTGGTTTAAATGATTTGTGTGCAAAGCTTATGATTCCTTTAGAAATGTATTCCAAAAGTAAAAGCAATTGTGCTATTTTTTAAAGTGAAAAACCACATCTCTGTAATACTTTATTTTCTTTTTATTTCTATTTCTCATGTCTATGTTTTACATTAGCACAATCTTAAATGTAATTTAAAATGGCATAACATAAAATGGTCAGAGAAAATATATATCTTTTAGAATACAATTCCTGATAAATAATGCAATCATACATATTCTTTATTTCAGAATACTTTTTTCTTCTCTCATTCATTAAATTGATTCTATTTTGACTTTAAGAATATATTTTATCTGCAAAACCACAATATCAAAAACTTTCATGTCTCTAGAAGTCCAAATTTATATCTATGTACTTTAAAAACAAAATAATTCTTGAGATTAATATTAGCCTTTCTTTTAAGGGAGACATTCTTTTTGCCCTCACCTTCTGCCTTTTAACAATAATTTAGGTATCAAATCATTTTGCACTTTTTTTTTGAGACAGAGTGATTGACCTGTCTCTCTCCCGAGTATCTGGGAGTACAGGCGCCCACCACCACGCCTGGCTAATTTTTGTATTTTCAGTAGAGACGGGGTTTCTCCATGTTGGTCAGGCTTGTCTCAAACTCCTGGCCTCAGGTGATCTGCCTGCCTCAGCCTCCCAAAGTGCTGGGATTACAGTTGTGAGCCACTGTGCCCGGCCCATTTTAGCACTTATTAAATAAATTATTTGACAGCCTTCATATTCATTAGAGTTGCTCCTAAGTCAAAGAGACTGCTTAAGAAATTATCCAGGCCGGGCGCGGCTCGACGCCTGTAATCCCAGCACTTTGGGAGGCCGAGGCGGGTGGATCATGAGGTCAGGAGATCGAGACCATCCTGGCTAACAAGGTGAAACCCCGTCTCTACTAAAAATACAAAAAATTAGCCGGGCGCAGTGGCGGGCGCCTGTAGTCCCAGCTACTGGGGAGGCTGAGGCAGGAGAATGGCGTGAACCCGGGAAGCGGAGCTTGCAGTGAGCCGAGATTGCGCCACTGCAGTCCGCAGTCCGGCCTGGGCGACAGAGCGAGACTCCGTCTCAAAAAAAAAAAAAAAAAAAAAAAAAAAGAAATTATCCACTGTGATTAAGATTTTACAAATTTAGAAATACATCTTTTCACAAATCAAGTCAAATGGAAACTATTTTATCTCAGAAATAAATTCAGGCAATCAACATTGTAACAAAGGCCATTTGGCTCCCAATTTTATTGTGATAGGGCTGTATAGGTTACAATACACTGCATTTCCTCAATTGGGTATATAAAAACCCACCACTTATTAAGTTGTAGTATTAAGTTTTCATGTGAATTTATAAGCATGTCTTATACAACAATGTAAAATTTTCCCGCGTTAAATTCAGATGCTCATAAAAAGCCAATACTGCACAAAAACGTTCCATTAAAGTCATACAAATTTAGAGGATTATTTAGAACCTATTTTTTAAAAAGAAAATATTTTGACTATTGTTGCCATCTGACACATGCCAACCTTATGTTGAATAATATTTTCAGATGAACAGATCTATCTAATCCACCTTTCATATTTCTCCTTCTGTGCCTAAATTATTTCTCATAACATAATGCCTTCCAGGCTTATCTATGTTGCCTCAAATGACCATATTTTATTCTTCGTATGGCTAAATAGTATTCCATTGTGTATATATACCACATTTTCTTTATCTATGCATCTGTTGATGGTTATAATCAGCCAATTGCTCCCATAATAAATGAAATTAACACATAGAATCACATGGCTAATAAAAGGTTCAAATAGAGACTTTCAAGCAACCATTCTATCAAGCAATCATTGTATTTTCAGAAACAAAACTCTTTAGACAATATCCAAGTCAAATTCAGTTTCACGAAATCTTTCCAAAAACAAAACTCTTTAGACAATATCTAAGTCAAATTCAGTTTTGCCAAATCTTTCCAATAATATTTATCTTTCAGTTAAACCCCAATTGAATGAGTCTCAAAGCTTATAATAATTATTAATTTGGGGACATCATATTTTTTTCTAGTTTGAATTAAAGTCAGAAAAATCAATTGGGAAATTTTACTTTTGAGGATTTTTTAAATCTTCAAATTTCTAAGACTTCAGAAAAATAGGAAAAATAAAATTATATGGGTAAGCACCCATTTGTCTACGTTGAAAACAGAAGAAATGGAAATGGCTGAATATTATCAAATTATTTTTATTTTCTAAGTTTTCCAATTCTAACATAAAAAATAGAGCGTTCGATCTACAACAAGAGAAAATGTCTAATTTGTGGATCTCTATAGAAACCCACTCAGTATCTACAGGCTATAAGTCAATATAAAATTTTAATAAATAATTATTTTCTATAACACACTCTGTCTGACACACACACACACATGCACACACACACACACACACACGCCAGATCACATTGTGGCATTCTTATTCAGTAATAATATTTTGTGAGTTGGGGATGGAGAGATGTAGGATTTTACTTTGAACTGTCAGAGACTATAGTTTTCCCTTGAGCAGATATTTTGAAACGAAAAGCTCTTTAGTTAGTTTTAATGGGTTGGGTTCCAAGTGTTTCCTCTCTTTCCCTCTAGTGTCTCACCATGCAGGCACACAGTTACAAGTTCACTTTGTTTTATAAATACCACAAAAAAAAGCCACATAAGAAAATTGCTTTGTCTGAGGGCTGTAGCCAGAACCTCACAACACTTGGCAGCATCACCAGGAATTTGCCCAAGTTAAACTATCTGCTTTAAAAAGTGTGTGTGTACACTTCTTAAATTATTAAAGCTTTCGAATGATTCATGCTTTTCTTTTTTTAAAACTTTTATTTTAGGTTCACAGGTACACATGCAGGTTTGTTATTTCTGGGTGATGAAATAATGTGTATACCAAACTCCCAGGTATTTCCTAGTTTGTAGGGTTTACTTTCCCTAGGTTATGGTTTCCCTGGGGGTTTGGTGTACAGATTATTTCATTACCCAGGTAATGAGCATAGTATTTAATAGGTAGTTCTTTGATCCTCACTCTCCTCCCAACCTCCACCCTCAAGTAGGTCCGGTGTCTGTTTTTCCGTTCTTCGTATCCATAGGTACTCAGTGTTTAGATTCCAATTATAAGTGAAAATATGTGGTAATTGTTTTTCTGTTCCTGTGTTAGTTTACTTAGGATAAGGGACTCTAGCTCCATTCATGTTCATGCAAAGTACATGATCTGGTACATTTTTATGGCTATGTAATATTCTATGGTATAGATGTAACACATTTTCTTTATCCAGACTACCCAATAGTGAGATTGCTAACAAGAGGTTGAATAGCAACTCTGTTTTATGTTCTTTCAGAAATTGCCAAACTACTTTCCAGAATAATGATTTAAACTAATTTACATTCCTACCAGTAGTGTATAAGCATTCCCTTTTCTCCACAACCTCACCAGCATCTGTTATTTTTTTGACTTTTTAGTAATAACCATTCTGAGTAGTGTAATATGGTATCTCATTGTGGTTTTGAGTTGCCCTTCTCAAATAATTAGTGATACTGAGTATTTTCTCATCTGCTTGTTGACTGCATGTGTATCTTATTTTGAATATGCCTGTTCATGTCCTTTGTCCACTTTTCAATGGGATTGTTTTTGGCTTGTAAATTTAAGTTACTTATAGATGCTACATATTGCACTTTTGTTAGATGTACAGTTTGCAAATATTTTCTCCTATACTGTAGGTTGTCTGTTTATTCTTTTGATAGTTTCTTTTGCTGTGAAAAGCTTTTTAGTTTAATTAGGTTCCATTTGTCAATTATTTGTTCCTGATGCAATTGCTCTCAGCATCTTCGTCATGATATAATTGCCCAGTTCTGTGTTCAGAATGTTATTTCCTAGGTTATGTTCCAGGGTTTTTATAGTTTTAGGTTTTACATTTAAGTCTTTAATTCACCTTGAGTTGCTTTTTGTATATGGTGTAAGAAAGAGGCCCAGTTTCAATCTTCTGCATACAGCTAGCCAGTTATCTCATCACCTTTCATTGAATAGGAAGTCCATCACCATTGCTTGTTTTTGTCGACTTTGTCAAAGATCAGATGGTTGTAGGCGTGTGGTCTTATTTTCTGGGTTTTCTATTCTGCTCCATTGTTCAATGTGTCTGTTCTGTACCAGTACCATGCTGTTTTGATTACTGTAAGCTTTTAGTATAGTTTGAAGTCAGGTAATGTGATGCCTCCAGCTTTGTTCTTTTAACTTAAAATTGCCTTGGCTCTTTGGGCTCGTTTTTAGCTCCATATAAATTTCAAAATAGTTTTTTTCTAGTTCTGTGAAGAATGTCATTAGTAGGTTGATAGGAATAGCACTGAATCTATAAATTGCTTTGGGAAATAATAACATTTTCACAATATTGATTCTTCCTGTCCATGAGCATGGAATGTTTTTCCATTTATTTGTGTCACCTCTAATTGCTTTGAGTAGCATTTTGTAATTCTCATTGTAGAGATTTTTCACCTCATTGGTTAGCTGTATTCCTAGGTATTTTATTCTTTTTGTGACTTATGAATGGAATTGGATTCTTGATTGGCTCTCAGCTTGTATGATTTTGGTGTATAGAAATTTTATATGTTTTATATATTTATATTTAAATTATATATTTTATATATTTACATTGATATTAATTTTTGTACATTGATTTTGTATCCTGAACCTTTGCGGAAGTTTTTTTCTTTTTTTTTCACATCTAGGACCTTTGGGGCAGAGACTATAGGGCTTTCTAGGTATACAATCATATCATCAGCAAACAGGGATAGTTTGACTCCCTCTCGCCCTATTTAGATGTCTTTTACTTGTGTCTTTTGCCTGATTACTCTGTCCAGGACTTGCAGTACTAGTTGAATAGGAGTGTTGAGATAGCTCATCCTTGCCTTGTTCCAATTTACAAAGGGAATATTTTCTGGTTTTGCTCATTCAGTATGATGTTGGCTGCGGGTTTGTCACAGACAGTTATTATTTTGACATATCTTCTTGCAGTGTCTAGTTTGTTGAGGGCTTTTAACATAAAGATATGTTGAATTTTATTGAAAGCCTTTTCTGCTTTCAATATCCAAGATGATTATGCGCTTTTTGTTTTTAGTTCTGTTTATGTGATGAATCATATTTATCAATTTGCATATGTTGAACCAACCTTGCATCCCAGAGATAAAGCCAATTTGATTGTGGTGAATTTGCTTCTTAAGGTGCTTCTGGACTCGGTTTCCTACTGTTTTGTTGAGGAAGTTTGCATCTGTGTTCATCAAGAATATTGGAATGAAGTACATTGTTGTTGTTGTCTCTCTGCTAGGTTTAGGTATCAAGGTGATGCTGGCCTCATAGAAAAAGTTAGAAAAGAGTTCCTCCTCTCAATTTTTAAAAATAGATTTATTAGGAGTGGTACCGACACTCCTTTACACATCTGGTAGAATTCGGCAGTGAATTCACCTGGTCCTGGGCTATCTTGGTTGGCAGGCTTCTTAACTGATGTGATTTTGGAACTTGTTACTGGCCTGTTCAGGGATTCAATTTCTTCTTGATTCAGTTTTGGGAACTTGCATGTGTTCAGAAATGTATACATTTCTTCTAGATTTTCTAGTTTGTGTGCATATGGTTGTTCATAATAGTCTCTGAATTTTTTTTTTTGTATTTATCTGGGGTCAGTGGAAATGTCCCCTTTGTCTTTTCTAATTGTGTTTATTTGAATCCTCTCTGCTTTTTTCTATATTAGTCTAGTATTGGTCTGTCTATTTAAACTTTTTTTCAAAAAAAAAAAAACAACTCCTGGATTTGTTGATCTTTTGTATGGTTTTCCTCACCTCAATTTCCTTCAGTTCAGATCTGATTTTGACTATTTCTTGTCTTCTGCTAGCTTTGGTTTGCTCTTGTTTCTATAATTCCTCTAGTTGTAATGTTAGATTATTAATTTAAGATCTAACTTTTTGATATGGACATTTAATGCTATAACCCTCCCAGTTAACAATGCTTTAGCTGTGTCCCAGAGATTCTGGTATGTTATATCTTTGTTCTCATAAATTTCAAATGAAGTCTTGATTTCTGTCTTAATTTTACTATTTACCTAAAGGTCATTTAGAAGCTGGTTGTTTAATTTCCATGTAATTATATGGTTATGAGTGGTTTTGTGTCCAGAATTGGTGGGCTCTTGGTCTCACTGACTTCAAGAATGAAGCTGTGAACCCTCGCGGTGAGTGTTACAGTTCTTAAAGGCGGTGTGTCAGGAGTTTGTTCCTTCTGATGTTCACATGTGTTCGGAGTTTCTTCCTTCTGGTGGGTTCGTGGTCTTGCTGGCTCAGGAGTGAAGCTGCAGACCTTCGCGGTGAGTGTTAACAGCTCTTAAGGCGGCGCGTCTGGAGTTGTTCATTCCTGCTGGTTGGTTCGTGGTCTCGCTGGCTTCAGGAATGAAGCTGCAGACCTTCACGGTGAGTGTTACAGCTCATAAAGGCAGCGTGGATCCAAAAAGTAAGCAGTAGCAAGATTTATTGCAAAGAGCAAAAGAACAAAGCTTCCACAGTGTGGAAGGGGACCCGAGTGGGTTGCCAATGCTGGCTCCCACAGCCTGCTTTTATTCTCTTATCTGGCCCCACCCACATCCTGCTGATTGGTAGAGCTGAGTGGTCTGTTTTGACAGGGTGCTGATTGGTGCGTTTACAGTCCCTGAGCTAGACACAAAGGTTCTCCATGTCCCCACCAGATTAGCTAGATACAGAGTGTCCACACAAAGGTTCTCCAAGGCCCCACCAGAGTAGCTAGATACAGAGTGTGGATTGGTGCATTCACAAACCCTGAGCTAGACACAGGGTGCTGATTGGTGTGTTTACAAACCTTGAGCTAGATACAGAGTGCTGATTGGTGTATTTACAATCCCTGAGCTAGACATAAAGATTCTCCACGTCCCCACCAGACTCAGGAGCCCAGCTGGCTTCACTAACCCAGTGGATCCCACACTGGGGCTGCAGGTGGAGCTGCCTGCCAGTCCCGCGCTGTGCGCCCGCACTCCTCAGCCCTTGGGTGGTCCATGGGACTGAGCGCTGTGGAGCAGGGGGCGGCTCTCATTGGGGAGGCTTGGGCAGCACAGGAGCCCACGGAGTGGGGGAGGCTCAGGTATGGCGGGCTGCAGGTCCCGAGCCCTGCCCTGTGGGGAGGCAGCTAAGACCAGGCGAAAAATCAAGCACAGCAGCTGCTGGCCCAGGTGCTAAGCCCCTCACTGCCCAGTACCGGTGGGGCCGGCCGGCTGCTCCAAGTGCAGCGTCTGCGGAGCCCACGCCCACCCGAAACTCACGCTGGCCCACAAGCACCACAGGGGAAGCCTGCGCCTCTCCCTCCACACCTCCTCGCAAGCTGAGGGAGCCGGCTCCAGCCTTGGCCAGCCCAGAAAGGGGCTCCCACAGTGCAGGGGTGGGCTGAGGGGCTCCTCAAGTGCCGCCAAAGTGGGAGCCCAGGCAGAGGAGGTGCCGAGAGCAAGCCAGGGCTGTGAGGACTGCCAGCACGCTCTCACCTGTCAATTTCCTTAAGATTCATTTTTATTTTTATTGTCCTGTGGTCTGTGACTGTGGTTGGTATAATTTCAGATTTTTTGAATTTGCTGAGGATTGTTTTATGTCTGATTATATGGTCAATTTAAGGTATATGCCATGTGCAAATAAAAGGTAACGTATATTCTTCTGGTTTTGGGTGGAGCATTCTGTATGTATCTATTAGGTTCTTTTGGTCAAGTATTGAGTTCAGGTCCTAAATACCTTTATTAGTTTTCTGCCTCAGTGACCTTTCTGATACTGCCAGTGAAGCACTGAAGTCTCCAATCATTATTGTGTGCCTGCCTAAGTCTCTTTGTAAGTGTCTAAGAACTTGCTTTATGAATATGGTGCTCCCGTTTGGGGTGCATACATATTAAAGATTATTTAGGTCTCCTTGTGGAATTGCATCTTTTACCATTATGCAATGCCCTTCTCCATCTTTTTTAATCTTTGCTGGTTTAAAGTCCACTTTGTCTTAAATTAGAACAGCAACCCCTTCTTTTCTTCTGTTTTCTGTTTGCTTGCTAGATTTTTCTCCACCCCTTTACTTTGAGCCTCTTCGTGTCACTGCATGGGAGATGGGTCTCTTGAAGACAGCATACCATTCAGTCATGCTTCATTATCCAATTTGCCACTCTGCCTTTTAATTGGGGGACTTCCACCTATTTATATTCAAAGTTAATGTTGATATGTGCAAATGAGTTCCTGTCATCATGTTATTAGCAGGTTATTATGCAGACTTGTTTGGTTGGTTGCTTTATAGTGTCACTGGTCTATGTACGTAAGTGTGTTTCTGTAGCAGCTGGTAATGTTTAGCACTCCCTTTGGGATCTCTTGTAAGGCAAGCCTTATTGTAACAAAATCCCTTGGCATTTGCTGGTCTGAAAATAATCTTATTTCTCTTCCAATTATGAACTTTATTTGGGTTGGATATGTAATTCTTTGTTGGAAATGCTTTTATTTAGGAATGCTGACCATAGGTCTCCTTTCTCTTCTGGCTTGTAAGATTTCTGTGGAAAGTACCTCTGTTAGTCTGATGGGCTCCTTTTTGTAGAAGATCTGCTCGCCAGCTGCCTTTAACATTTTTTTTCTTTCATTTTATCCCTGGAGTATCTGAGGACTATGTGTCTTGGGGATGGTCTTCTTTGGTAGTATTTCACCAAGGGTCTCTGAATTTTCTAAATTTGAATGTTTCCCTCTCTAGTGGAGTTGGGGAAAATTTCATGAATAATATCCTAAAACATGCCTTCTAAGTTGTTTGATTTCTCTTCCTTTCA